>NC_000007.14:143700804-143852319 GCF_000001405.40 Homo sapiens | reverse complement strand
TGAGAGCATACTGTCTCGGGCTTTCTGGGAAGAATGTGCATTCAGTGCCATAGATAGTATCATTGAAGAGCTGGGATGCTTGAGAAGATTATTTAGTCAAGAAAAAAGAAAGACAAATCAACAATATGTCAAAAAATTCAGGTCCAATTATAGAGCAAAATAAAATGAGGCATGATTTTGAGTTATTCATGAAGAATAAGAAGAGGCTTGATAGGTACATTTCCTTTTCTATGGCACAGGCATGATGATATTGGGTGTGTAGGGAAGAAAATATCCTAGCTTATACTAGGCTCCCAGTAAGAAGTATTTAAATAGCCAAAATAATGTGGATATCATTTATTAGTATTCAATGTTCAGATCAGCCTATTAACAAAGTGTGAAAGGTTTCATTTTTTATTCAGAACTGAAGTTGAAAGTAATTAATGCTGACAAAGGGAAAGAAAGCAGAAAGAGATTGAGAATTAGAGGAAGAGAAGTGGAATCAAAGGTAGAGATACTTATATATTCAAAGTGGGGATGAAAAGATCTTCAGTTAATGGAACAAGAACTAGAGGATTAGTGTATTGTTCAAAGCTATAAAATCAAACCAATAGATGTATTAAAAAGTGATGTAACTATCAGACATTTGGAGAGAGATGGACAAAGGAAAGTGGCGATAGTGTAAGTTAAATCCTTATCTTTTGTAATGGGGAATTATTAAAGATGTTGTAAAGTCAGTAAGTCAAGAAATTATTGCTCAAACATATTATTTAAAGTTAGAAAGTTACCAGACGATCTAAAATAAATATTGTTAAAAGCATTACCTCTAGGGAATGGGATTTAGATTTAAAAAGGGTGGGATGGGAAACTGTGTTTTTCATTTTAAGTCCTTCTGTACTATTTAATTTTTTACCTTGTGCATGTATTACTTTGAAAAAATTTTTAATAAACCCAAATAAAAATCTTCCAGTGACTTCACATTGATTAAGATGCAACCCAGCTAAAGCCTTTAAAATGGTTTTCAAGGTCCTCAAGTATCTAGGTCCACTTGATGTGTCCAGGCTCATGATATCTCCCCACAAGTCTCTATTTCCAACCAGATTAAGTATCTTCCAGTTATTAAAACACACTTCACATTCTTTTGTTTGTATAGGTGTTCCACAAAAAACAAAGCCTACTGCTGATCTCACCATGTCTGCTGAGTAAGCTTACCATCTAGTGGGTTTTAATATTTGTTGAATGAAGGAATGTCCAATACAGCATTGAATGAAGTTTGCCAACTTCATTCTTTTCCAAGAAGGCCTTTGATGTTTGCCCCTGTTCTGGGAAACATTTCAAGAAGGACCATCCAGGGCCCTAAGCTTTCCTGCACTCCCCTTCATTTGACAGCTTTAATAAGTTTTAGTCTTATATGAGGCCAGCTAGTGTCAGAGCATTTCTGTCCATCTGTCAGTCTCCCTGGTGTACTCTTTGCTACTTTCCCTGAACATCGTAACCTCTTTTCAGCTATTTTTAACCCTGTACTTGGGAGAAACAGCCAACTATCTAGTGGAAATCTTTAGGCCACCAAGTTTCTTTTTTTTAAGTTTTATTTTACTTTTAATTGACTCATAATAATTGTACATATTTATAGGGTATAGTGTGATGTTTTGATACACGTATATATTTTGTGATGATCAAATCAGGGTATTTAGCATATTTTTCACCTCAAACATTTATCATCCCTTTGTGGTAAGAACATTCAAAATCCTCTCTTCTAGCTATTTTGAAATATACAATATAATATTGTTAACTATAGTCACCCTACTGTGCAATAGAACACCAGAACTTATTCCTATCTAACTGAACCTTTGTACCTGTTGACCAGTCTATCCCCATCTCCCCTGCCCCACTACCCTCCCAAGCCTCTGGCAACCACTATTCTACGCTCTGCTGCTATTAAATCAACTTTTTAAATTATAGAATCCACTTTTGTGTGAGATTGTACAGTATTCGTCTTTACATGCCTGGCTTATTTTACTTAACATAATGTCCTCTGGGCCCAATTACGTTGCCACAAATGACAAAATTTCTTTTTATGGTTGAATAGTCTTCCATTGTATATATACACCACATTTTCTTTATCCATTCATCCACTGATGGACACTTAGGTTGATTCCATGCAACTACTGTGAATAATGCTGCAATAAACATGGGAATGCAGATATCTCTTCCACATAACTGATTTTATTTCCTTTGGATATATACTCAGTAGTGGGATTCTGGATCATATGGTACTTCTATTTTTTAACTTTTTTAGGAACCTTCATTCTGTTTTCCATCATTGCTGGACTAATTTACAACAGCATATGAGACTTCCTCTTTCTTCACATCTACCCCAACATTTGTTATTTTTTGTCTTTTTGATAATAGCCATTCTAACTGGACTGAGGTGATATGTCATTATGGTTTTATTTGCATTTCCCTGATGATTAGTGATGCTAAGCATTAGTATGTCTTCTTTAGAGAAATGTCTATTTAGGCATTTTGCCCATCTTTAAATGGAATTATTTATTTTTCTGCTATTGAGTTATTTTTCTATATATTCTAGGCATTAACCCCTTGTCAGATGCATAGTTTGCATATGTTTTCTCCCATTCCTTAAGTTAACTTCAATCTGTTTCCTTTGCTGTACAGAAGCATTTTAGTTTAATATAGTACCATTTCTCTATATTTGCTTTTGTTGTATGCTTTTGAGGTCTTATTCAAAAAATTCTTGCCGAGACCAATGTCATGAATTGTTTCTCCCATGTTTTCTTCTAGGATGCTTACAGTTTCAGGTCTTACATTAAAGTTTTTAATCAATTTTGAACTAATTTTTACATATGGTAAGAGACAGGGGTCTAATTTTATTCTTCTACATGTGGATATTCAGTTTTCCCAGTGCCATCTATTGAAAAGCCTCTCCTTTTCCTAATGCATGTTGCTGACACTTTTGTTGAAAATCAGTTGGCTGTAAGTGCATGGATTTATTTCTGTTCTGTATTCTGTTTCAGTTATCTATGTGTCTATTTTTATACCAGTACCATGTTGATTTGGTTACTATAGCTTTATAGTATATTTTAAAGTCAGGTAGTGTGATGCCTCGAGCTTTATTTTTGCTAAGGATTACTTTGGCTATTTGGGGTCTTTTGTGGTTCCATAGAAGTTTTAGGATTTTTTTTTCTATTTCTGTGAAGAATAGGGATTGCATTGAATTAGTAAATTGCTTTGGATAATATGGACATTTTGACAATATTAATTTTTGCAATTCATTATTATCTTTCTATTTATTTGTGTCCTCTTCAATTTATTTTATCCATATTCTATAGTTTCCACTCAAGATGTTTCACCTCCTTTGTTAACTATATTCCTGGGTATTTATTTTATAGCTATTGTCAGTGGATTGCTTTCTTGATATCTTTTTTTAGGTAGCTTGCTACTGGCATATAGAAACACTACTGATTTTTGCATGTTGAGTTTGTATCCTGCAACTTTATTGAATTTATTTATTCTAACAGTTTTTTGTGGAATCTTTAGGATTTTCTATATATAAGATAATGTCATCTGCAAACAAGGACAATTTGACTTCCCCCTTTCCTATTTGGATGCCTTTCATTTCTCTTGCCTAATTGCTCTGGCTTGGATTTCCAGTAGTATGTTCAACAAAAGTGATAAATGCGGCATCCTTGTCTTATTGCAGATCATAGAGGAATAGCTTTCAACTTCTTCAGTATGATGTTATCTATGAGCTTCTCATTTATGGCCTTTATTGTGTTGAGGTATATTACTTCTACATCTCATTTGCTGAGAATTTTTATCATGAAGGGATGTTAAATTTTATCAAATTTTTTTCTTTGTCTATTAAAATGATTATGTCATTTTTGTCCTTCATTCTGTTAATGTGATGTATCACATTTGTGATTTACATATGTTAAACCATCCTTGCATCCCTGGGATGAATCTCACTTGATTGTGGTGAATTATTTTTTCAATATGCTGTTGAATTTGTTTCACTTATATTTTGTTAAAGATTTTTGCATCTATGTTGATAAAGGAGATTGGCCTGTAGTTTTCTTTTTATCAAGTTATCCTTGTCTGGTTTTGATAATGTTGGCCTCATAGAATGAGTGTGGAAGAATTTGCACCTCTTCAACTTTTTAGAATAGTTTGAAAAGAAGTGATATTATTATTTACATGTTTGGTAGAACTTAGCAGTAAAGTCATCAGTTCCTGGGCTTTTCTTTGACGGGAGACTTATTATTACTGATTCATTCTTGTTACACATTATTGGCCTGTGTAGGTATTTTATTTCTTCATAGTAGTTCAACTTTGGTAGGTTGCATGTGTCCAGGAATTTATTTATTTCTTTTAGGTTTTCCAGTTTATTGGCATATAATTGCTCATAAAAGTCTTCTATGATCCTTTGTATTTCTGTGACATCTCCTTTTTTAGCTCTGATTATATTTATTTGAGTCTTCTCTTTTTTGTTAGTCTAGCTAAAACATTTGTTTATCTTTCAAAGGACCAACTTTTTGTTCTACTGATTTTTATATTATTTTCAGGCTCTATTTCACTTATTTCTGCTTGATCTTTATCAGTCTTCTCTTCTAGTAGTTTAGGGTTCAGCTGGCCCTCGTTTTTCTCATTCCTTGAGGTGCCACATAAAGTTTTTATAAAAGATTCTTATACTTTTTTGATGTAGGCATCTATTGCTATAAACTCCCTCTTAGAATAGCTTTTGCTGTATCCCATAGGTCTTGGTACATTATGTTTCCTTTTATTTGTCTCAAGGAATTTTTAAATTTTCTTTTTAATTTCTTTATTGATGCCCTGGTTTTGTAAAAACTTGTTTTTAGTTTTCACATATTCGTATATGTTCCATAGTTCCTCTTGGTATTCATTTCTAGTTTTTATTGCATTGTGGTAAGAGAAGATACTTGATAAGATTTTGATTTTTTTGATTGCTTGAGATATGTTTTGTGGACTAACATATATTCTATCGTGGAGAAAAGTTCCATGTGCTGTTGAGCAAAATGTACATTCAGTAGTTATTGAGGGGAATGTTTTATAAATATCTGCTGGGGCTATTTGGTCTAGAATGTAATTTAAATCTGATAATTCTTTGTTGATTTTCTATCTAGATGATCCATCCATTGCTGAAAGAGGGTGCTAAAGTCCTTTTTTATTTTATTTTAATTTTTCTCTCCCTTTAGATCTCATAATATTTGCTTTATATATTTACTTTATATATTGGGTGTTCTGGTGTTGTGTGCTCATATACTGACAACTGTCCTAACCTTCTGCTGAACTGATTTCTTTATCTTTCTTTATATAATGACCTTCTTTTCTCTTTTGACAGTTTTTTACTTAAAGTCTATTTTGTCTGATGTAAGTATTACTACCCCTGCTTTGTTTTGGTTTCCATTTTCACAGAATTTCATTTTCTCTTCTTTCACTTCAGTCTATGTGTGGCCTTATAGGTGAAGTGCCTATCTGGTAGGCAGCATGTTGCTGAATCTTGTTTTTTTTTTTTTTTAATTTAATCCATTCAGCCACGGCGTATGTTTTAATTGGGAATTTATTTCATTTACATTCAAAGTTATTATTGATAGGTAAGGACTTCTGCCATTTTGTTCATTATTTTCTGGTTGTTTTGTTTATCCTTTGTTCCTTTCTTCCTCTCTCATGTTTATCTCTGTGGCTTGATTAGGGTATTTGTTGTGTTAAGCTTTGATTCCTTTCTCTTTCTCATTTGTATATCTGTTGTAATTTTTTCTTTGTGATTAGTATTGGGGTTACATTAAAAATCTCTCATACTTATAATAGACTATTTTAAGCTGATAACAAGTTAACTTTCATTGCATACCAATACTCTAGACTTTCATTCTGCACCCAAATTTATAATTTTGTTGCTTTAATATACATCTTTATATATTGTTTATTCCTTAACAACTTATCATTGCTATAATCATTATTACAATTTTCACTTTTTGGCATCCCACAGAGCTGCATTTTTTTAATTATTATTATTTTTTAAATGGGGTCTCATTATGTTGCCCAGGTTGGACTCAAACCCCTGGGCTCAAATGAGCCTTCCATTTCAGCCTCCTAAATAACTGGGACTACAAGCACATGCCACAGCACCCAGCTGTTTTGGCCTTTAACCTTCATACTAGAGGTTTGAAACATTACATATCACCATTGCAGTAATGAAGCATTATGAATTTGATAATGCATTTATCTCCAGCAGTGAGATTTATACTTCATGTTTTTTTATGGTAGCAATTATCATGAAAACTTTTTTTTCCAATAGAAATACTCAAGCATTTCTTGTAAGTCTGGTCCAGTGGTAATGAGTTCCCTCAACTTTTGCTGATCTGGGAAAGACTATTTCTCCTTCATTTCTGAAGCAAAGATTTGCTGGTATAGTATTCTAGGCTAGCAGCTTTTTTTCTTCTAGTATTTTAAATATATCATCCCATTCTCTCCTGGCCTGCAAGGTTGCTGCTGGGAAATCTGCTAATAGTCCAATGGCAATTCCCTTATATGTGACTTGATGTTTTTCTCATGCTGCTTTTAGTATTTTTTTCTTTGTCTTTGACTTTTGACAGTTTGGTTATATGCCTCAGAGAGGACCTCTTTGAGTTGAATCTTTGTGGGATCCTTTGAACTTCATGGATCTGGATGTCCATATCTCCCCAAGACTTGGGAAGTTTTCAACTATTACTTTGTTAAATAAGCTTTCTTTGCCTTTCTTCATCTCTTCTTCTTAAGTTGCCAAAATGCAAACATTTGTTCACTTATGGTGTCCCATAAATGCCATAGGCTTCTTCATTCCTTTTTTTTTTTCTTTACCTCTGACTGGACTATTTCAAAAGGCCTGTTTTCAAGTTCAAAAATTCTTCTGTTTGATCTATTTTGCTGTTGAAGCTCTCAATTGCGTTTTTTTATTTCATTCATTGAATTTCTTGGCCCCAAGATTTCTATTTTGTTCTTTTTTATGATATCTCTCTCTTTGTTGAATTTCTCATTCAGATCATGAACTGTTTTTCCCGATTGTTGAATGATCCGTTTGTGTTCTTTCATGTCTCACCAAGTTTCCTTAGGCTCACTATCTTGAATTCCTTTTCAGGCAATTCATAAATTTTTATTTTTTTATTGGGGTCAGTTACTAGAGAATTATTGTGTTTCTTTGGTGGTGTCATGTTCCCTTGCTTTTTTATGTTTCTTGTATCCCTGCACTGGCATCTGTGCATCTGATGGAATAATCACCTTTTCTAACTTGGTAGCATAACTTTCAGCGGAAAAGACTTACACCTGCAGATGTGTCCTAGCATGTTGGTTGGGTAAGGTACATTTGTTTTTGTTCTGGGTGGATGCAGTAGTGTAGTCTCCATGCAGCTTCTTTAGCTGTAGTTAATGTCAGTGGTGCCTGCAAGTACCTCAGTGGCCTTGGCTGCAGAAGTTTGTGTGGCTGGTATGCCCACTCAGCTGCTTGTCCCCTGAAGGCTGGGCACTTAGCTGGTCTGTTTTCTGAGGATCCATGGCTGGTAGGTTCTCCTTCGGTGCTTATCTCTTGGTGGCTGCATAGTGAGCTGGTCTGTGCTCTAGGGAAGTGCAGGGCTGGTTGTCCAGTAGCTCTGCTCAGTTGCTGCTCCTCTGGAGGCAAGGCACCAGACTGGTTCATACTCACTACCAGGTTACCAGGTTTTTTGTGTCCTACTATCCCTAGTTTCTTGGTAACTGTTCCTTCTCCATCTTCATTAACATTTCTGTCTGAAGGTAAATATTTGTATAATACAAAGACCTTTTCTTACCTGAATTAGCATCTGTCCTATTTTCCATGTATCATAATAGAGATTTACCCTCACAAATGGGAGTAGTTTCCAGATTGCCCATGTTATCACAGAAATAACCCAAATTATTTTATCTTCTGCCACACCACTGAGTCTGAATTTCTGTAAAGAGAAATTGAAATATGTCATGAGTTTACTTTCCTCTGTTGTCTAACTCCCATAGTCAACTGGAGCTCTCTGATGAGTATTGGCCTTGCAGCCAATCTTCAAAGCAGTATTTATCAGAAACACTTCCTATCTCCTCTTCACGGGATTAATCTGATCTATTTAGTGCTTAAAGCAATGTCCTCACCCAAGGTCAAAACCTCACCTAATATATGTACCTAACAGGCCAACAGGTAACTAGGCCTTAGATGTTGACTCTTTTTTGCCAACAAAAGTAGCAGACTCTATCCCTTCTTTCAAGACTATTTCCCTCCTCTGTTCTCTACTCCTTACAAAGCCTTTGTACTCCTGCTTGGCTTCTACTCTTAAAATGATTTCTTTCTTTGACCCACATCATTGCAGTCAGTCTTCAATAGGGAGTGGGCAGAAGGTGATCTTCAACTTCTCAGAGATCTTTCTTCTAACTACACAAAAAAACAACTTACCTCACAATCAAGACAACTAAGAAATGCTTCCTATGCATTTGGATTCTTGTGCATTTCAGTGCTATAAAGAAGCATTTCTTTGATAGGAAAGCTTGAGTAGCTTAAGTTATTGATGTTCTAGTCTGAGACTGGGTGCGTTTCATAGGTGCTCATTATATTAGAAATAAATAGAATAAAGGGATGAGTAAATAAATGAAAGATAAATAGAGGTTGGGAAGCAACTGCAACTTAAAAAAAAAATGTAGTGACCAATGATGACAGTTAGGAACCAAGGTTTATTTTAATACAAATATGTGTACCTGAAGGTCATTAAAAAGTTACTTCTATTCTTAGGAACTCAAATATACATAATTGGTTAAGAAATCTGTACATGTAGGTACTAAAAAAATATTTCCATGAATCGCTTAGTGACATAAAATTCATTTTTCACATACTGCCAAAATTATTTAGAATATTTAAAGTCTGAGATAGTGCCCAAAGGGGGTTAGGGGAGGACAAAATGATCAAACATACAATATAAAAACAATCTATAAAAGAGTCTAGAAGAGATCTCACAGGTTTAGAGAGAAGACCCCTCTTCTTCCTGAACAGACCCCGTAGGCCAGGGCCCAGCAGGCTTACCTATTGTCTGTGGTTTCTGTGCTGCAAACAGGAGCCTAAAACCTGCAAATAGGTTATAAACCTTTTCTTGACCCTCCACCAAGGTAGATAGGCAAGTGGAGCTTTAATAAAACAGAGTTTTTCCTTTTCTTCTTGCTGCTTGTGTAGCCTTGGAGCCGACCTATTCCAAAGGAGAAAATAATAAGCCTTAATTAAGGCTTTTGACATTTAACCACAAGACAACTGGCACTATGAGCTTGTTGCTCTCAACACCTAGAGCAGAGTTAAATCTCAGATCCTCATAGAAAACTCTGAGATAAACTATTTCAGCTGGCAAAAGCATTAAAAGACAAACAACTGACTTGTGTCCGTAATGTTAGAGTGACCTTTAGCAGAAAGCCTGGTGGATCTCTAGCACTGGTAAAAGTACTTTTGGCTATAGGGCATTATTAATGTTATTAACGCACTAATAGTACATAATATTATTAATGCCCTACAGCCAAAGACCAATGGAAACACACCTATAATTAAACAAGTTGAATCTGTTGTTCATTGCAGCTAGGGAAAATGCACACCATAGAGAACTGTGGGTATATCAGTAAAAAGGTGTCAGAAAGAACCTATTATAGGCTGTGGGCTTTGGTTGGATAGTTTTGGGAAGTGTCTGAAGAAGGGAGACTTTGTTTTGGATGACATACTGTCAAGAACCAGAAACAATTCTACAACTACGATCTCAATACATATACAAGGAGAGCTGACTAAAATAAGCATAAAGGCTGGGCGCGGTGGCTCACGCCTGTAATGCCAGCACTTTGGGAGGCCAAGGTGGGCAGATCACCTGAGGTCAGGAGTTTGAGACCAGCCTGACCAACATGGAGAAACCCCGTCTCTACTAAAAATACAAAATGAGCCGGGCATGGTGGCGCATGCCTGTAGTCCCAGCTACTCAGGAGGCTGAGGCAGGAGAATCGCTTGAACCCAGGAGGCTGAGGTTGTGGTGAGCTGAGATTGCACCATTGCACTCCAGCCTGGGCAACAAGAGTGAAACTCTGTCTCAAAAACAAACATAAATAAAATGAGAATAAAGCTGCGATTGGTTTCTAAAACGTGCAATTACTCATTTTAGATAACAGAAGGATGATCAGTATTTTGTGGGTTGCATGGTGATCGTGTATGTGCCTTACTTTATGACGGTCTCTGA
This sequence comes from Homo sapiens, assembly GCF_000001405.40. Classification (NCBI taxonomy): domain Eukaryota; kingdom Metazoa; phylum Chordata; class Mammalia; order Primates; family Hominidae; genus Homo; species Homo sapiens. Next base: position 143,842,072 of record NC_000007.14, on the reverse strand, counting down.
GTGACCTTATCTGATGTTGATGTTTTCTGAAATTGTTTTTGTACAATGGGAGAACAATATGGCCTCGCTGTTAGCGCCAGACAAGTTTCTGGATGGCAGGAGCTGCTGCTTTTTTTTTTTTTTCTCAGTTCAAAGGTTTAAAAAGGGAGAACCTTTGCTCTTCTTATAGAGATTCAAGTCTGCATTTCTCTTGATTGACCACAAGGGACAGACTGAAAAAAAAAATAATAGCAGAAAGTATGCATGATGTACCTTGGGAAAGGATAGTTCCGTACAGATCCCCTAGACTTGGTGGAAGTCTTGGGGCAAACCAAAATGAAATTAAGACTACACGTCTCAATATATAGTGAAAAGCCTTGAGAAGGAATGATCTTGATGTCACAGGAACTTTGTAATTAGTCCACTGGGAAATAATTGTTTACATTTTCAAATAAGTAAATAAATAGACAATAATAGTCGCTGGTCCCATAGGAGTAGGGATTTAGACTCACTCTCTGTAGGAATTTTCTTATATAGTATTGACCTACTATGACCCTCAATTCCCATACACTATCCCCCGGCATATTGATATCTACAACCCTTGTGGGATTGTGAATGAAGACATTTATATTACACTGATGTAGGTGCAATTAAAGAAAATTGGATCTACTGAGCACCTGTCCAATGAACCTGATATTTCAAAGGCAGAAAGAGAAAAAGGACATCCACTCTCATTCTTGGGCTAACTCAGTTCCACTGGCTCCAAGACAACTGAAATCTTCAGGACAAAATCAAACTTTATGTCTGGTCTGGTGGTGGGAGAAACAGTTTATAAATGTAAGAATATCTCTTCTCACCCCCACCCCAGCCATGTTCCTTACTAGAGGAAGAAAGTTTCAGTACCTCTGGAGTGGCAGTGATGTGTTCCAAGACATCCTCTGTGATTGGAATATAACTGGCTCTTACCACGTATGTTTCACACACTTATGATCCAAACAGAAAAAAAAAATGTATGCCCAAGTATATTTTACAGATATGCCAAAAGCAGAATATGAAAACTTTTATAACTCTGAATTAGGGCTGGCCGCTTGTCAAGAGAAGCAACAAACTCCCCCATTGCTTCAAAGTTCCACTGTTTTCAATGAAGACGCAGGCAGGAACTTGCCCTTGGAGATAGACCATGCTACAATTGGAATAAAAGTTATTATAAATGTACTAAAGAATGAAACTTAATGGGTGAGTGTTTCATAGATACTCTCAAGTTAGTAACCTTGCTTTTTACTTCCACTACAACACAATTTTAGTAATTACACTTGAGAGATTTAAAGTGAGGAGATATAATTATGACAGTACTTGTGTTATTCTGGGTCCTCCAAGAAGCAAAAGCCAAGACAGGATCAGATATGCGAGAGATTTATTAAAGGAAATGCCTGTGAGAGAAAATGTCGAGGGAGCCAGAGAAGGCCGGGAGAGCCACCATTAGACTGCAATGTAGGTTTAACCCTTGGGAAGGAGACAGCAAAGGAAAGACAGGCTTCCACTGAAGTACAGGTCTCAGAGAGTTTCTTTCAGGACCATGAGGAGTCCTTGAGCCAAACTCACCTATCGGGAGAGTCCCATGTCTTCCAGGAATGGGCCTGCCTGAGGATCCTCACTACATTTGATCACCAGCCTGGAGAAGCCCCTGGCAGCATGGCCTTGGCGCCAAGGATTCCAGAGCACACCAGCTGGGGCCATCTGGCAATTTCATACCCACCCCCTGCAGTTGGACATCTGAGAGGAACATTTTCATCACCACCATAGTACTCATTCTTAAGGCAGCTGTAGACACCTGTTCTGGATCATCTTAAATAGTGACTTAGTGAACTTCCCCAGTGACTCATACCAGTAAATGTCCATAGGTGGATTCATCCATCTCTGTTCCTAAATTAGAGTGTGGCTAATTCTTCCCAGATTCTTAAGGTCCTTAAAAGAAAGAATATATGGTACCACATTAAGTTAAGCTCATGACTGAAAATAATTTAAGAAGGAGGCCAGTGACTATTAATAGTAGCCCACAATTAGAAGGCATATGTATGAGTAACCCCTGCATCTGGCTTAGTGATAAACTGCAATTACTGCAGCAATTGCTCTCTATTTGACAAAAAATGGACTCATGTACCACTGGTAAAGATAATATTTCTGATTTGTGTTTGCCTCTTGTATATGCTGGACAATGAAGTATAATATTGTTTATGTATATTTATTACGTATAACCCAGAAAGAGTCTGTCATGGAAGCACAAGAAGTATGAGTTAGCCTGCCTGATTTAAGCTAATACAGATCTATCCTTGGAAATGGAGATGAATTCATTGTCCCCTGAATCTCATAAAGGAGAGGTGGATTATCTGATTTAAAAAAAAAATGGATTTGGTTAGAAAGGACAATAGGGGTAGTGTAGGGAATAGATGTTGAGGAGGCAACCACAGTGTTTACTAAATGGTGCTTTTAAAAAATCTTCCTCCACACTGTAGAATGGAATCCAAACTCCCTAGTATGGCAGCCAAAGTCCCTCTAAACCGAGCCCAAACTTCTCTTTAGAGCTAGCACTATGCAAGTTCTGCTAACAAGTTTCAGTCACTATGAACATTTTGTCTTTCTCAAATTAAGCCTTTCACATTCATATCTCTGTGCTTTGGAATCTTATACAGCCTCACATTGTAATACCTTCCCCTTTATCTCCCCGCAAATATACATTTTTCTAAGCTGAGTTTCTGTGTCACCTTCTGTGCACATTCTTCTCTAATCCTTTGATCAGAAATAATTGCTGCTTCTTTTATGTGCCCTTGCACCTGATTCGTAGCCAATTTTGGTATAGTTGTTTTCTTGTCTTTTTTCCTCTCTAGATTTACTGACCATAATAGCATTTCTATCTCCCAGAGTGCCTCACAGAATAAGTGTCCAGTAAGGATATGTTGACTTTCACTGAATGGCGTCTGTTTTCTCCCAAGTAAAAGGAAAGATCTGGGGCCTGCACCTTTGCATAAGCAGTAACCATTTCGAAGCTTATCCAACCCACCTTATTTTCGTTGTTGTTGTTGTTGTTCCGTTTTCTTTTATTTTAGGTTTCTAGCTGCCTGAACTCACGGTTTTTAGTTTCTGTCTCTAGTGAAAGGGGAAAAGAGGGATGAGGAAGGGGTTTTACTCGCCTAACCAAAAACAGAAACTAAGAACCCATGACTGTATTCTCTCTCGGACACCCTTTAGTCAGAACGTAAATGCTGGTTACCATCTTTAATCTTTTTTTTCTTCTTTTTTTTTTTTTTTTTTTTTTTTAGGAACCGTTATGCCGTTCCTATGTTGTTAGGTTCCATTCCTCAGGCAGCTCCTGCTCCCAAATGGCAGGTACTTTCTGCTCTCTGACCCTGGAAAAATCACCTTTGTTTAAAGCCCCTTTCTTCTATTAGAGCAACACCAAAATACTCTCAGGAGTTAATTTAGAACAATAGTAGTACTTTACCATGAGGAGTGAGGTTGATGTAGGTGGAGACTGGTTAAAACCTAAGAGTACAAACACACAAAAGATACCGAGCCAGCTTTTTGTTGTTGTTGTTGAGACGGAGTCTCGCTCTGTCGCCCAGGCTGGAGGGCAGTGGCATGATCTCTGCTCACTGCAACATCCGCCTCCCGGGTTCAAGCAATTCTCCTGCCTCAGCCTCCCGAGTAGCTGGGATTACAGGCCTGTGCCACCACGCCCGGCTAATTTTTGTATTTTTAGGAGAGACGGGGTTTCTCCATGTTGGCCAGGCTGGTCTTGAACTCCTGACCTCAGGTGATCCACCCACCTCGGCCTCCCAAAGTGCTGGGATTACAGGAGTGAGCCCCCGCACCCGGGCCTGAATCAGCTTTTAACGTGGAACTTTACTGACCCACTTTCTTTGATGTCCATCTCCCACTTCAGCTCCCAAAGGTCAGTTGTTCCCTGATATGAAGCCTAAGAACTCAACGTACTTCACCGCACGTTGGATTTCTAGCCGGAATTATTCCAAATTCTGGCAAGTCTTATCCACAATTTCTTTTCTGTGTAAGTTTCTCCTTGCTCTTTATTTCTGAAACCTGAATGTATTTGGTCCTCTGCCAATCAGATTTCCACTAGTCCTCCGAAGAGTCAGTTATTAACTCACTAATTCGACAGATATTTTTGGACGTTCACTATATCCTTATTTATTTAGCATATATTTAGTTATTTATTAAGAAACTAAAGCCTATTCTATGTCAGAAATGAAAATAGGCAATGAGGACTCAATGGTGGGCAAAATGCAGACAGACTACTTTTTTCCCCTCATTCTAGCACAGTCATCACTTTCCTAGGTAAGACGTTCCTAAACTCCAGACTACACCAAATCCTCCTCCTGACCACACCCTTCCACCTTGATTTTCACCTTCTGACCTCTCTTGCGTAGAAATTCGAGCACCAGCCACTCTATAGCTTTAGCTTAATTTCTCCAGCCATGCACGGACGAATCTGTGTTAGTGATGCCACAGGCACGTTTCCCTCCCAGCAAGAATATAACTTGCTGGGCAGCATTTCTGTGGATACTTTGAGAGAAAAATGCCCTAGTTGAGCACCCCGCACCATGGCCATAAGCATCCACCGGGCTCGAAGTGCATGGCCCGCCGCTGACCACTAGGGGGCAGCCCTCCACGCAGAGGCTCGAGCGACGGAGGCGACGCGGCGGCTACCGGCTCTGCTGAGCCCACCCCAAGATCGGAGGGAAGGGAGCCTGATTCCACGCGGGGCCTCCCCCGTGGCATACGTTGTTGTTAGGGAACTATTCGCCCCAAATATGGTTTATTGGAGACTTAGGGTTTGCTTTTCTTATCAAGTGCGACAGCAAACTGGCTGGGTCCCCTCTCGCATCCAAGAACCCGCAGAGACCCTGAGGGAGCCGGTTTGGGGCCCCATGCAGGCCAAAGCATCCCTCCGGGAAGGCGGGGTCGCTCACCTGGTAGGCGCCCCGAGAGCCCGCAGCACGGCCCGAGGTGGGGTCCACCGATGGAACGGGAGACCACGGGCGTGGCTCAGGGAGCGGTAGCCGCGCCCCGGGCCCGCCTCAGGGTCGGCTCCGCCTCACCCCAGCCTGTGCCCCGCCTCCGGGACAGCCCAGTTTCCGAGACCTCCTAGCCTCCAAGACAGCCCCGCCGCCAGAACAGCCTCTCCTCCAGGACCGGCCAGCCTACGAGAGAGCCCCGCCTACGGTACAACCCGCCTCCGGGACCGCAGGACTCCACCTCCGAGACAGCTCAGTCCCCAGGACAGTCCCGCCTCCGAGACGGCCCCGCCTCCAGGACGGCCCCTACCTCCGAGACCGCCCCGCCTCCGGGACCGCCCCGCCCCGCCTCGCCTCCGACACGTCCCCCGGGCGCCACTGCAGAGCCTGTCCGTCAGTCCCTAGGTATCCGCACTGCTCAGGGGTGAGTTTTCCAATCCCAGCGGGTCCTGGGGTGGGGGCGGTAGCTGAGCACCTAGGGCACTGGGGGTCGCCGCAAAGTGCTGGAGGCCCCAGACCATACCCGGCGTCAGGGGGTGTCCCTCCCTTCTTAGGTCTAGGTCTTTGGTTTCATTTCGTTTTGTTAGTCTGGTGCTATTTGCAGTTTGTCTCAAAACACGTTTCTCCCTCCTATTTGAACTTGTAAATTACGAATTTGACAAAGATGTGCATGGTGTGTGCGTGCACGAGGGCACATTTCGTTGCGGAATGCTGGGTCAGCTTTCCGGGACATATTACTCATCTGAGGTTTTTTGTCTGTTTTTGTTTATCCTGTCAAACTGGTACTGCCCCAGAAGTGAAAGACGTCGCTTGTCTTCTGGGAGGTAGCTAGCACGATCTTGAGCTCAGGCTTCCGGATCTCTCTCGGCTGCTTTTTTCCACTGGTAACTTCTGAGGCTGAGATCAGGTACCCGCATTCTCAATGCTCTGCCGAGTATTGGCTCTCTTTTGTGAATTTCTTTCCCGCGAGCAGTATTAAGAAAAAGGTGGCGGATAGGAAGGGAAGAGGGGAAGAGATGGAATTCTACAGGAAATGCAGGGCATGCTCAGAATGCCAACCTTTCCGAGCTTGGAGAGATTTAGTGGAAGAAAGTAGCAGGAAAAACGTCCAGTAATCACTGGCATGCCAGACCCTGGAGAAGCCAGGCTGAGGCGCTCTGCAAGTTTCACCTTAGAGAGAGTGGACGAAATGTAACGGTTCTTGTTAGAGTTCTTGTAGAGGACGATTGTGGATGAGAATACATCCTGGGGACTAAAACCATATTGGTTTAGTCTGGAATGATTGCCAACTAAAGGGACTGATGTTTGAGAGAGATGGTGAGAGATTAACCAAATGAGGTGGTTGACTGCATATAGAAGCAGGAGGGAGAGAGGAAGGAGGCACTTGTGGCTCAAGGGCTTGGTGTGTGTTTTAGTTTAGATTCTGCCCTAAAGCAAAGCCTTATGCAAGGGCTTACCTGCAGGTAATTTTTTGGGGGTAAGTGAGACCAAAAAGCCCAAATGAGGAAGTGGAGAGAATGAGACAAGGAAAAAAGGGAAAGCCAGGAGGAGCATGTGGCTGAGGGTCTTCCACATGGCGCTCCTTTCCTCCGGGTGCCTTCCGAGGACCTCTGATGGGCACCTCGGGAAAGCCACGGGGCACTCTTCTGTGAATCCCCGCTCTACTGGGCGAAGCTCACCCTAGTGTCAACTCACCGCTACTTCAGGGCTGCCTTGTGCACCTGCAGAGGTGAGAAGCCATCAGAGCACAGAGGAAAGTCCCTTACAGTGGGCTCGTCAGAGACGCGCAAAGGGAGGCGGCACAGGCAGCCAGGGGACTACTGCACTACTGCAATCTGCAACGCTGCCCTCGGCAACCCGGGAAACTTAAAAGGACAGCAAAGGGACAGACACTCTCGTTTATTCCGTGCTCACTGTATGTGTACCAACCCCAGACAAGGCATTTTTAGACATATTCTTTGCTTTATTTTATTTTACTTTACTTTATTTTATTTTATTTTATTTTATTTTATTTTATTTTATTTTATTTTTTGAGGCAGAGTCTTGTTCTCTCGCACAGGCTAGAGTCCACTGGTGCGATATCGGCTCACTGCAACCTCCGCCCCCCACCGTCAGGGTTCAAGAAATTCTCATGACTCAGCCTCCCCAAGTGGCTGGGATTACAGGTGCACGCCACCATGCCCAGCTATTTTTTGTAGATTTAGTAGAGACAGGTTTCGCCATGTTGGCCAGGCTGGTCTCAAACTCCTGAGCTCAGGTGATCCACCGGCCTCGGCCTCCTAAAGTGCTGGGATTACAGACATAAGCCACTGCGCCTGGCCTATCCATATTCCTTTAATCTTCAAAAACAATCTTCCCATGGCTGTATTATTCTCTTTTTGTAGATGGGGAAACTGAGACTGAAGTCATTTATCCAAGAGGGGCTGCTTAAAGGGACAAATAGTCTCAGTGTTAGGCACAGCCAATTTTAAAAGACCTCCGGAAACTGCATAATGCTACCAAATAGAGGAGGGTCCTCTCCATTAGGGCAGATTTGATAAATTAGGGGGCACTTTCCAACTTAGCAAAGCTGTCAGAAGAAAGGCATGTTTTGACAGGTCTATGACCTTTCTGTTCAAAAAAATCAAGCACTGTGTCCACTCAGGCACACGAACTTAACTATCACCTTGATTTACTGGCCCTGCAGGATCTAGCCCGTCCCTCCCTCCTCCTGGGGTCCTGCTCCTCCCTGCTCCTGGCTCTCAGCCACCCCAAAGTGGTCTCGTTGCTGGAATGCCCTTTGCTCACTGCATTTCAGGTTTCAGCTTCAATGCCACTTTGTCAGAGTCCTTTCCTATCACCCAATCTAAAGTAGTCTTCCAGTTCCTCCATGTCACATCATTGTGTTTTATTTTCATCATAGTGATTGTTGCATTTTATTTATCTGTTTATCTACCTATTTATTCATTATCTTTCTCCTTCTAAAATATTCAAATCACGAAAAGGGAAACCTTATCTGTTTTGTTTCTTGCTGTACTCCCAGTGCTAGAACAGTGCTTGGCCCACAATGGGGAATCCAGTAAAATTTGGAGGTGAATGCATTTAGTTGTTTGCTTTTTTCACCTGTTCCTTCATCTGTTCTGACCAGCAGTGCTTATCAGTATCTCTTAAATACATGAAAGTCTTTGCTTCCCCCTGCAGCAGCTGATAGAACCATGGCGACCATTGCTGCTGCTGCGTTTGAGGCCCTCATGGATGGAGTGACATGCTGGGATGTCCCCAGAGGCCCCATCCCCAGTGAACTCCTTCTTATTGGAGAAGCCGCCTTCCCCGTGATGGTGAATGACAAGGGCCAGGTGCTCATTGCTGCCTCCTCCTACGGCCGAGGCCGCCTCGTGGTTGTGTCCCATGAGGGCTACCTGTCGCATGCTGGCTTGGCTCCGTTTCTCCTCAATGCAGTGAGCTGGCTCTGTCCCTGTCCTGGGGCTCCCGTGGGAGTGCATCCATCCCTGGCACCTCTAGTAAACATCCTACAGGATGCTGGGCTTGAGGCACAGGTCAAGCCAGAACCAGGAGAGCCCCTAGGGGTTTACTGTATCAATGCCTACAATGACACCTTGACTGCAACGCTGATCCAGTTTGTGAAACATGGAGGGGGCTTGTTAATCGGGGGCCAGGCCTGGTACTGGGCCAGCCAGCACGGCCCTGACAAGGTGCTCTCCAGGTTCCCTGGGAACAAGGTGACAAGTGTAGCCGGAGTGTACTTCACTGACACCTATGGGGACAGAGACCGGTTCAAGGTCTCTAAGAAGGTGCCCAAGATCCCACTCCATGTCAGGTGAGTGTTTGTTCCCCTCTTAGGGAGTCTGACTCAGGATAAACAATAGAGTTGGTTCCCCTCTTCAACAAGCTTCCATTGCAATACAGGTGATTTTCCACTCAGTTTGGAACCACCACAAATCAAAAGCAGGATGATTAAAATGCACCAAGACACAAGAGAGGCTGGGCCCTCACTGCCACTCCCTCCTGTGGCCAAAGCTGAATAGAAAAGCTTGTCTTACCACTTTATCTCCATGTCTAGTAAATAGAACCTAGAGAGTGCTCATCAGTACCTCTTAAATGCATGAAAGAATATTTGTTTGTTTGCGTGAGCACCGATTGTTGATCATGCTGCATTCTGGACAATGGGGGTCTAGCAGAGATCGAGGCAGGCAAGTCATGCCATCATGAGGTTTGTATTCCAGGGGAGAGATAGGTATTAAGGAAACTAATATATATGTGCTCTATCAGGTATTGCTAAGATCCATGAAAGATGATAATATAAGTGGATAGCATGACAACAGGAAGGCTGATGGAGGCTATTTTATTTAAGACGTTCAGGGAAGTCCTATCAGTCAGACCAAGTTGGATTGGTCAGGATTTGTTGGCGTTGCTAGCAGAAGGGATTTAGTATGGGGAATTGACTATACCCATGATAGAGGAGCTGAAAATACACACAGGGGACAGCAAGTAACCCAGAGATCAGCAACAGCAGAACCAGCAGAGGGAGATGGTGGTATTACTGAAGTCCAGGTGCTGCGGCCACCTGGTAGAAGCTGGAGCCATGCTATGCCTTCCCAGCAGGAGCTGGAACCACAGATGAAAGGTCTGTCTGCTAGAAGCTGGAGTCTCAGAGAAGACACTGTGGTTACCAGAAATACAGCCTGAAGAGAGAAGCAAACACTTAAACTCCTTCCTTCTTCCTTCCTGATTTCAGTCTTCTACCTCTCTCTCCCATGGGCTGAACCCACCAGGATCCAGGGAACAGGAGAACCAAAGAAATGCAGTTTTCTGCAACACGGAGGATGACCAAGATGAAAGGGGAATAGAGATGAGTGCAAACAAGCTCATGGCCGGCTTGGAAGGCTGGTCTGGTAGGTAGCACTTGAAAGGAGACCTCAAGGAAGTGAGGGAATGAGCCATGTGGGCATCTGTGAGAGGAAGATTCCAGGCAGAGTGAGGAGTGAGGGTGAGAAAACCTGGAAGGGAAGCCTGCTTAGTATGTTCCAAGGGAAAGGGAGTGGCCCTTCTATAAGGTCGGAAGGCTCTGCAAAGCTCCAGGGGAGAATAGCTGAAGGCAGCTGTTCTGTGACCCTGAGGCAGAGGGCAAGGAGTAGGTACAAGGGAGTGTAGGAGAATTTGTCTTGATCAAGCCTGTTTGTTTGAAGTTGTCCAGGAGCTGACATTTGAACATCCGCACACATGATGTTCTCTGAATGAGGAACAATAAATGTTAGTCATTTACAGATTGTGTAGGCTCCAGGCTTTCGGCATTATGCCTGCAGTAAATAAAAGCAAGCAGCTTCAGCTTCTCGGGGCTGCTCTCTGGCCACTACAGCCAGGCAGTCACCTAGCTGTTCTTACACTGCATACTTGTGTCTGAGTACTCATTTCATCCATTGGCCAGGGACACACCTGGCAATCAGGGAAGCCAGAATGATGGGAACTCAGTGAATGATAGCTCAGGTCATGTAAGAACTGACAGGCCAGGAGTAGAACTTTAGACCTTATTTGCAGTGAGATGGGAAGACATTTTGTATTCTCTACAGAAGATTGCTATGATGTGACTTAAATTTCAAAAGGAACCCTCTGATTGATGGTGGAGAACAGACTGTGGGAGGCAAAGATTGAAGCAGCAGACCAATCGGGAGGCCACTGAAGTAGACCACAGGAGAGATGGTGGTGGCCCAGACAAGACTGATAGAAGCTGTGGAGCTACTGAGAACAGGTTCCATTCTGGACACACCTCAAAGGGAGAACCCAACAGGCTTGGCTGATGGAGTGAGTAAGGAAAAAGAGGAGTTGAGATTTTTGGTCTGAAAAAGACCAAAAATTAAACACAGGTGCTGCTGTTTAGTGATCTGTGAAAGGACAATGAGAAGATGGATTAGAGGAGATCAGGAGTCTCATTTTGGATGTTTTAGGTTTCAGATATTAGTGACTACTTACTTATGTTTGGCCACATGTAGCAGAAGCCTTAGTATAGCAGATTAACCATGTAGCAGTTTATTTTTTCTATGAAACATGAAGTACAGGTAGGTAGTCCAGCTCTGGGGCAGTGACTCTATGATGTCCCATGGTCAGTCTCTGTCTCCCTGTCACTGCCTGACCCTGTCATGGTGTGTTATTTTATCCTTATGGCTACAAGTTTGCCACTACTACTCCAGGCACCATAATTACACCCATGCAATAATAAATTGGAATGGATACACCTACTTTTAGTTTATAAAACCATGTATTTCCTGGAAGCCCTAGACTTCTATTTATATTTTAACGGCCAGCCTAGTTAAATCAGTAGTCCCTAGCCTTTTGGTACCAGGACCTGTTTTGTAGAAGACAATTTTTCCATGGACCTGGCAGGAGTTTCAAGATAATTCAAGTGCATTACATTTATTATGCACTTTATTTCTATCATTAGTACATTTTAATATATAATGAAATAATTATACAACCCACCATAATGTAGAATCAGTGGGAGGCCTGACTTCCAGACCTAACTACCAGGAGATCTGAAGGGCTGGCTATTTTTAAATGGGCACTGGCGTCTCTGAAGAAATCAAGATGCTGTACAAAGAAGAAGGGGCATACAGATACTAGTGAGCAGCTGGCAGTGCCCTGAACCCTCAGCCCCAAGCTCTGGACCTCTTTGAATTCCTTCCCTTCTGAGAGATTTGGGGAGGGGATGGGTTTACTCAGAGACATTGGAGTGGATCTGATTCGCTTCAACTTTTTTATTCTAATGCGAAGGGACAAGCAGGTGAAATCTCATCACTATAATGCCTCTTAATTGCCCCAAGGGATTCTCCTCTCTAGCTAACTCAACCTGTTTTTCTTCATCTATATCTACATTTTTAATCCCTGCCACCGATTCTAAGGTATATTTTGTGTGTTTGTTATTTTAATTCTTAATTACTGAAAATATTAAACATATGCAAAAGTAGACAGAATAGTACAATGAACCCCCATGTAGCCATTCCCCAGTCCCCAAAATAGTCAACTCCAGGTCTGTCCTATTTCACCTGTAGCCCCACTCTTCCCCACCCAAGATTATTTTGAAGCAAACAGCAGACATCATGTCTTTTCATCTGTAAGTATTTAAATATATATCTCTAAAGGTATGAAGTCTTTTAAAAACATAACTGCAAGTCATCATTATCACACCTAAAAGAATAATTCCTTAGTGTCATCATTTATTTCCATGATTGTCTTATTTTTCAAAATGTGTTAACATTGGGCCAGGCATGGTGGGTCATGCCTGTAATCCCAGTCCTTTTTGGGAGGCCAAGGCAGGTGGATCACTTGAGGTCAGGAGTTTGAGACCAGACTGGCCAACGTGGCAACACTCTACTAAAAATAAAAAAATTGGCCGGGTGTGGTGGTACGCACCAGCAGTCCTAGCTTTTTGGGAGGCTGAGGTAGGAGAATCACATGAACCCGGGAGGTGGAGGTTGCAGTGAGCCGAGACCATGCCATTGCACACCAACCTGGGCAACAGACTGAGACTCTGTCTCAAAAAAAAAAAAAAAAAAAAGTGTTAACATTGAAATTTAAATAAAACCCAAATATTTTGATTTCTTGATACAAATTTTATATCTCTTTTAAGATACGCGTTTCCTTTCCAACTTTCTATTTCTTGCAGTTTTGTTGCTGTTGTTGAAGACACCAGCTACTCTTTGTTGAACAGTTTACTTCAGTCTGGACTTTGAAAGTAGACCTCAAGGAAGTCAGGGAATGAGCCATGTGTGCATCTGTGGGAGGAGGATTCCAGGCACAGTGAAGCGCAATGGTGAAAACCTGGAAAGGCAAATTGATTGCCTTCCTGTGGTATCATTTAATATGGGGGTACCAGTCCATGGCCTGTTAGGAACCAGAACACACAGCAGGATGTGAGCAGCGGGTGAGCAAATAAAGCTTCATCTGTATTTACAGCCACTCCCCATCACTTGCGTTACCACCTAAGCTCTGCCTCCTGTTAGATCAGTGGCAGCATTAGAGTCTCATAGGGGCACGAACCCTATTGCAAACTGCTCATGCAAAGGGTCTAGGTAGTGTGCTCCTTATGAGAATCTAATGCCTGATGATCTGTCACTGTCTCCCATCACCTTCAGGTGGGGCTATCTAGTTGCAGGAAAGCAAGCTCAGGGCTCCCACTGATTCTACATTATGGTGGGTTGTATAATTAGTTCATTATATGTTACAATGTACTAATAATAGAAATAAAGTGTGCCATAAATGTAATGCACTTGAATTATCCTGAAACCCCTGCCAGGTCCATGGAAAAATTGTCTTCTATAAACAGGTCCCTGGTACCAAAAGGTTAGGGACCACTGATTTAACATATTCATCTTTTGCTTGTATTTTCTGTATAATACAAATTAAAAGTTAGATCTCGATTTTAGGTCAGGATTGACAAACTGAGGCCAGCCCCTGTTTTTGTGAATGAAGTTTTGTTGGAGCACAGCCATGCCCATTCATTCACAAACTGTGGCTGCTTTCAAGCTACAGTGTCTGCCATTGTTGAATAGTTTCAGCAGAGACCATATGGCCCATATTTGTCTAAAATATTTGTCGGACCTTTTAAGGAAAACTTTCTCAGCTCCTGATCTAGAGGTTTGATCAGATTCATGTTTGAATTTTTGACCTATTTTATAGGTGGTAGTATGCACTTCTACTGGGTAGAGCACAATGGTCTGATTTTCTCTCTTACTGTGAGGTTGGCAGTCCTTAATAACCGTTGCTTAGCCCTAGACCCATTAATTTGTGTTTATAAAATGATGGCTTTAAAATTTTAATATTCCTTTTATTTGTTATTTGGAATAGTTTTATAAAACACACTTTCCTTCACCAATTACATACTCTATGGTATAATTTATATAGAAAAGGCAAAATAAATATTTAATTCTCTCTTTCTCATTTTAAAACCAGTTTCCAATATTGAGTTGTTTCCCTAGCATCTTCCAGAGGTCACCAATGTGTTTAAATTTTTCTTAGAATTATTATGAAATCATGATTGGAAACACAATGTGTTTCATTTATTATCCTTATTGATGTTGAAATTGTCCTGTTTGGCCATTGGGAGCCAATTCAAGATGATTCCTGAATCTTTTCCACCCAACCTTAATGGGCTTCCTGGTTTTTTAATATAACAGGAGGTTTCAATTTCATCTCATGTATTTCCTGCTCAGGCCCAGAACTGCCATTTCTCCAAAAAGCCCTATTTTTTTCTTCCTTCTTTTTTTAACGTACAGCCCATATTTCTGGGAGTCCTAATTTGCATTTAGAAACTCCAGTCCGGGTGTTAGAGTTGTGCATTGTTTGATCTTTGTTTCTAGGCCTTCTAAATAGGCACAGCTAAGAAATAGATATTTTTGGTTTATATTTTGATACTTCGGATCAGATTTGGGGCTACAGGGTTTTAATTTGATTTCAACAATCTTACCTCTGTATCTCCTATCTCTCATGATGAAAAATTCCGGTTCTATAAGACACCAATGTAACGACTCATTTGCTCTATCCCAAGATATACAAACAACAGTTGCAAAATATGAATAATAGCACTACTACCAGCAATATGATGATTATTGTAACAAAGATTACTTGCAGTTCTTTTTGTCCCAATGATATATTTTATTATATACATATATAAAGTCAAAATACTATCTTTAAAGTCACTTCCAATACTTCCGCTCTTTGTGGTTATACCGCTAAACAGATGTACATGTCAATTCATTGGTTATTTTATTTTTTAGTTTTGGAATTGCTTGTGTAATTTAATTTTGTTTAAAATTATGTAAAATAGTAATCTGGGTCCAAAGTAAGATCTTAAGAAACCTATATTCTGTCCCTGTTTCCTTCAAACAATTCCCTTCTTCCTTCTGTGCATTTTTTGTGGTTTAATTCTCCACAAACACACACATATTAGTAGTCTTCTCTTCACTGGATAAGGCAATAACATACTCTATACATTTTTTCCTCCTTACTTTTTTTCACTTAACATTATTTCCTGGATATGGCCTGATAGTAATGTATAGAGATACACTGTATACTCTATTATACCATGGTGTATGGATATGATATTGTTTATTCAATAAGTCCCTTATTGACAGGCACTTGAGTTTCCAGTATGTGTTATTTTTCTGGTACTTCTACTGTTACACATGTGCTGCAATGAATACCTTTGTGCACGTATCCTTATATTTCGCGCTATCACTGGAAATGGGATTTCTGAGTCATGGGGGAAATTCATATGTAATTTCGCTAGGCACTGCTAAGTCCCCCTTGTTGCAGCTTGGGTTACTGGGAATCTGACTCAGAGATAGAGATACATGTGTGGGAGGTTTGTGAGGGCATGCTCCCAGGATCAGCATCTGTGGAAAGGTGAAGGAAGAAGCACTGGAGACAGGGAGAAGCCGGGCTATGAGGCAAATATTTTTTAGCAATATTTTCACTGTTAAGTGGAACACTGGAAGAAACGTGTCTGTAATAGAAGATTGCTTAAATAAGGTATAGCATATCCTAGAGTGATTGAGTGAGTAATTTTGCAATCATTAAAAATTCTATGTTCAAAGACTTCTTAAAGGAAATGAAAAATATTCATGATAAAATAGACAAAATTAAGATATAAAGCTCTGCATTAAAATGATGCTAAATTCATTAAAACAATATATGTATAGCCAGGAAAATAAAACATTAGAAGAAAATATAATAAAATATTAGTAATGTGTCTCTGGGGCTAAGTTGGTAATTGGTTTCATCTTCAAATATTTTTGTCCTTTCCGAATACTCTATAATTATAAATTGACAAAAAAGACATTTTTAATATTACCTCTTTGCCTTTTCAGAACCCTTAAAAAATAAAAAACCTCTCCCCAGATCACATTAAGATATCTTTCTTTGACCTGATATCATTTATAGTTTTCATTGATTCACCAACAAAAAGGAGAAAGGAACAAATTTTCTTAACATATCAGTTTTTTTCCCTCTTTCTAGTATCTTGTATCCATGTTTTAATTTATCTAAAATATGTGAGTGCCTGTTCTAGACACTATTCTAGGCACTGGAATTCCCACAGCGTTTAAGTCCATATTTTAGGACTAAGAGAAGCGTAGTGAAAGTTCAGCTAATACTGTATAAAAATAAATTCCCACATTGTTAGTTTTGATTAATTAAAACATTTATTGAAAAAACAATGACACTAAAGTATTTGAATATTTGTAATTTCTGTAATGTCCTCAACCAAAATGTTTATGCTTACATATCTTCTATCTTTGCATATCTTTACAAATCAATACATCATTTTTGCTAGCTATGATTACATGCTGCTATTTTGTATTCTCCTTAAAAATATTTTCCCATTTTTATATATGATATTTTTAATGATAATTTTTAATCATAAGTTCTGTAATTTGTTTTAACTATTTCCTCTTTGTTGCATACTCAGATATTTTCTAGTTGAGTATCGGGGGGTTGGCGATAACATATATTATCCATACACATCTTTAAAGTATTTTAGAACTGTCCCTCAATGTAAAGACCACAACATGTAACATTAGATTTCTTGTTTTATAAAATATCAAGATATTTGTTCCTATTCTGCACTTTCTTTCAGCTCTTGAAAATCCAATTTATTCTTCTTAATTAGTTTCAACTCAAACACCCTCCTCAGAGCAGTCTTCCCCAGTGGCCATACTGAAATTTGGACTGTCCATCCAGTTTCACTTCATCACATTTCTCCATTTATTCCTTAAACATTATCACTCTCTATAACTATCTCCACTGTTTCTTGCTAGGGCCTGTCTAACCAACCAGAATATAGAGCTCCATGATCTTGCCTGTTGCGTTTACTGCTTTATTCTCAGTGCCTGGAGTACTTAACATTAGAGATCAACAAATATTTGTAAACTATATAAATTAATGAAAAAATATGAATGAATACACATCCAAAACCATAACAAGAGAAAAGACAGCCTCATATACTACTGTTAATCCTGCAGACAACTTCCTACTATGGAATATAGGGCTGGGGGTTGCGCCAGAGCCTTCCAGCCTCAGCCAACAATAGAGCCAGAGGGAACCAACTCCTTGAGAGTCTCAGAAGGTCAGAGTCTGAGTCTCTGGCTCAGATTCCTCCCGCCTTCAGAGCAAGTCCCATTAGAGGTTTTCAGTGAACATTCCTGCCACAAATATTGGTCAAAGGCGCTTGGACTGACCCAGCAGGTTCCTTAACTTTAAATCTCGGCTGGAAGGCCCTGGAGCTTCTTAAGAGAATTGATTGCTGGCCTGCCCCAACTCTGCCTGCCAAGGAGTGGGGCAGTCTCTAAACACCAACAAAAGCTCCTCTCACATCCTATCCCCAAGGGCACACCTATGTTTATATAACAGGAGTATACTGCAGTTGCTTTAATATTTAAAAGCAAATCCAAAGGCACTTGCTACCTTTATACCATGACAGAAGAGTCTGGAAGAAAAGTTAACCTCAGATACTAAGCAGCCACCCATTACACTTACACACGGTATAATCTACAAGCTCTAAAATATGTTAGCAGCTGCCCATATAAAAGTAAATATGTAACTGGGCATGCTGATGCACAGGTACTCACATACTCGAGAGGCTGAGGTAGGAGGCTCTCTTGAGGCTGGGAATCCAAGGCTGCAGTGTTCTGTAATTGCACCTGCAAATACGCATTGCACTCCAGCCTGAGCAACATAGTGAGAACCTGTCACTATTTGGTAAGTAAAAATTGTAAATATGTACTAGTGGCTTAGGTTTATGACTGTCTTGAGAATTATTTATTTTCTGTGTCCTCAACACAGTCCTGTAGAGTAGGAAAGTCTTTGTCCAAGGAGTTCCAAGTTACAAGCACCACATACCTTTGTGTATGTATCATTATATTTTGCCATATCACTGGAAATGGGATTTCTGAGTCACGGAGGAAATTCATACGTAATTTTGCTAGGCGCTGCTAAATTCCACTTGTTTCAGCTTGGGTTCCTGGGAATCTGACTCAGAGACAGAGATAATTGTGTGGAAGGTTTATGAGGTTTATATTCAAGATCCATGAATGTAGTTTCCAGGTAAAAGCTGAAATGAGACTAGATCCCAGAATTGCTCTCTCCACCAAATCTGACAAAATGAATGAAAAATAATTAATAAATGGCTGGATGTGGAAGGTTTTTATGATGATGACATACATTGCTATGCACTGGCCAAGGAGAACAGGTGATTGATGGGTGGCCCAGGATGGAGTATCTCCTAACACCAGTCAACCTTCCATGTACAATGGAAAGAAAATATTCAAAATCACAAATTCAATAGTTATCATTAATGCTTTCTAATACATAGAAAAGTGAACAAATTGGGTGGATAGACAAGAAAAAAAGCTTTCAAGTGTAAACTCCCCATGTGAGTTCCATCTGTGGTTTGGTGGAAGTGGGCCTAGCTTATTAGGTCCCCTAAGACGGAGAAACCAGGCCTAATCAAAAATCAAAAATCTGAAATTCTCCAAAATTCAAAACTTTTTGAGCACCACCAACATAATGCCAGAAGTGGAAAATCCCACTTTGGGGACACCTTTGCTTTCTGATGGTTCAATGTACACAAACTTTTTTCATGCACAAACTTATTTAAAATATTGTATAAATTACCTTTAGGCTCTGTGTAAAGGTGTATAGGAAACATAAATGAATTTTGTGTTTAGAGTTGGGTCCCAACACCAAGGTATCTCCTTATGTGTATGCAAATATTCCATAACCTGAAAAAAATCAAAATCTGAAACACTATTGGTTGGTCCCAAGCATTTTCCATAAGGGCTGCTCAACCTGTATTATCTCCTTCAATTCTAACAATAATCTTCCAATAATATCAGAAATATAGTTTATTAAGCCAGGAGAAAGAGTAAACATTATGACATTGTTAGGAATGTTTGTGTGTTTAAGCAGGATTTTGGTCTGACATAGAAATATGAATATATCTGTGCTCACAGGTGAGTAGCATCTGTATTCTGACTATTCCAAATGAGTAATTTTTGTACCTGCAATTTGTTACAAAAGTGAGTTTTCCAAATTATTTTCTTAAATCTGACAGGTTAAATAGTTTAAATAAAATTGTGTGTCTAATAGGCATGATTGAGATCTAAAGAGATTTTACCCTGTATTTACCAGCTTAAAATAAAAGAAAAAAAATACATTTACAATTTTAAGGCACCTCTCTGATTATCAATGCCCATATTGTTCAGTGATGATGGAGACAGTTTTTAAAGTTTTCTTATTTACTATGATTTATCTGTATTTAAGAAATTAAAAATACAAAAAAAAAAAAGATACTCAAGTGTTGGGGGCTGCAGGTCTTCAAAATGTTTTTTACAGCATCTGATCAACATAGTTCTCTCTAGTCCTTTTTTTGATGTTATAGATCCTAAGAAAACATCGTTTCTAGATTCTAGTATTTCTGTCCTGTTTATATTTATCAGAGAGTGAAATAAATCCAGAAGAGTATTTTTACATTCTATACAATCTCAACAGAAAAACAAAACAAGCTAAGTGAAGATGTATTTGATTACTACCAGTAGACTTCATTACTTTTATTTTCAAGAAAAAATATATAAATTGTTAGATGTTTTACCTTCAATATGGTGAAAATGACAGCAGCGCACTTCACACTTACCTTTTTATTTAGTGCTGTACCTTCCTAATTTGGCAGTTTTTTAATTGGCATTCAGAAACCTATCGCCCATGTTACCTGTCTGCTCAGATGTGGTTTGCGAACATTTCCTAACCATACCATCCCATCCCTTTCCTTTAGTCCTCAGTGGCTTCCCCTGCACTTCCAGCTCTGAAGTAACACATGCTTTTCCTTTCTTAAACACAGTATTGTTCGCACCTTTGCATCCTGTAAAGCTTCCTTTGCACAAGATATACCTGTCGAAAACCATGTACCCAGATGTAGGTTCCGTCAAAGACTCAGTAATTGAGTGAGAGAGTTCTGGTGTGTAGACAACGGTGGCTTTGGAAGCAAGCCAGCCTGGGTTTAGTAAAAATTAAAGAAATAGGAAAGAAATACAAAAGGTGGCTTGACAGTCACAGACAGGTTTAATTTAGAGAAAATAAACATGGGAGGGGCATCTGGCCGAGTTAGGTCAGAGGCATACTCCCTTACAGACTAAGAGTTTTTAAGGATTCAAGGTGGGAGAGTTTATCAGAGGCCTCGACTGCTTCTGTGTCTCTTTGTTGTGCTTATCTGAGAGGGAGAGTTGTATCTCTGTTCCCATATATCCTTCTGCAGCTGCAGGCATACCCCACTTTTAGCTTCCTATCTTTTAACTTCCCTAACTTAGTGCACCCAAAGGGAAAGGAATGTTCTTATTAAGGCCCACTGTTTAACTGGGGCCCATTGTATGAGGATGAAGTTTGGCAGTTACCCAAGAGACTTTGCTCCCTCCTCCCTCTGTGCCCGAGCTGTCTCATCTGTGTTTTACCGTTCTGCTCTTTCCGGCTGCTTGTAGTTAGAAGAGAAGTGATTTCCTGGAAATGCATGGGGCTAGAAAGGGAGCTGAAACATAAATTAGCGGTGTTTATCCAAGATGACGATGCTCCTGCTTTGTCAGGTTTGCTTCCTGTCCCTGCCAGTTATTAGCTAGGAAACGTGGGGAAAATTGCTTAGCTTTTCCAAACTCCATCTTTAAAGTGAGAATAGTAACTTTCAGGTTTATTATAATGATTGAAAGAGATAATACATATGTTAAATACCTAACATATATTAAACCTTATTAAAGAGCAGCTACTTTCATTGTTTTCCACACTTAAACATTGTAAACAGATATTATACAAGATTTAAATATTGGTAACTAGCTGTCTGAGATCATTAATATTGCCCTTAGGATATTGTCAAATCAGCTGTTGAAATTTACCTGATATACTAACTGCTATGCTTACTCACTTTTCCCTCCCTCCCTCCCTGCTTCCCCCTCCCTTCCCCCTCCCTCCCTCTGTCATCCCCTTCCTTCCTTCTTTCCTCCTTTCCTTTCTTTCTTTAGTTTTCTTTTAAGAAATGCCTTTTTATGAAAATATTTCAAAAGGAATTCAAGTTTATTTTGAAAAAATGCACACCAATACAGAAATATAGAGAGGAAAATGGCAACTCATCCTCCTCACCACACCACCAGCTCCAGTCTCATGCCTCTGGACCAAGGTAGCCAATCCTAAAAGTTTGACATGGATCATCTCAGATGCTTATCTATGTGTGTGTGTGTGCTCTGCACATTGATTTTTTAGTTAATGTATCATGTTGGAGAATGTCTGCCTTTTTACTTCATATTTTTGCAACAAGTTAGCAGAACACAACCTTCTAGGGTCTCAATGTCTTGTCTTCAGGATGCAGGACAATTGTCTTCTGGCTGTAAGTAAGCTTGTAAGTCATTCTGATCAAATCATCTCCATCCTTTTTTTTTTTCCAATGGATGCTGTGAATACATTACCATCTCCAAATGTAATGTCAATTCATATTTTTATTTTCTTTGTAGCAGTTCTTGCTTTCAGTATTGTGTTTTTGCAGGGCATAAAAATTAATAAAAATTTTATTTTTGTTAGAGTGTAACTTTAATCCATAGAAAATGTTCATTTTTAATTTTTCCTCTTTGAAATCACTTGCATCCCTTATTAATGCTGATATGTCTGCTTTTGTGTTTTTGTATTTTTTAAAATAAAACTTTGTTGATTTTGTCATTTTCAATGCTTTTATGTTTAGTTTCAGGTGTGTCTTTTATAAGCAGCTTATATCCAGATGTTTTTAACCCAATCTGACAGCTTCTGTGAGATGGAAATTCAATGCATTCATATATACTGTGATGATTCAAATGTATTTCTTGCTCTTACCCCCTTTTAATTTTATTTTCTATTTTTATGCTTTATTTCTTTTTACATTTTTCCTTGGTTGCTACTAAGCTTTATCCATTTCTTAAATTTCCTCAACACATTTGTAGATTATACATTTTACTTCTATTTTTGGAGCAGTTATCTTAAATTTTAAATTTAATGTTTGATTACCTGAGAAATATAATTGTACATTCTCCTTATTTGAAGAAACAAATTATTGAGGCAAAAGCCCTTTTCATCATCTCCTTCAATGTCAGTCCTTTCTCTCTATCTCACAATCCAAAAGAAAACACTCTTATCAGTTTATTGTGGTTGTTCCCTGACATTTTGGACACATATTGACGTATGTTTACTTTGCTTTATATTGTGTCTTCCATAAGTTGCATCACCAAGTTCTGCTATTTTTGAAATTGTTTTACTCAACAAATATGTTTTGAACATCTTTCCTTGTTAATTAACATAGGTGGACCTATTCTTATTGACTGATAAATAGTAATCCATCATATGATTAAATGCCAATTTTTATTTGCATTCATATTAGTAAACATTTAACTTCTTCATATTTTTTCACTATTACCAACAATTTGCAATGAACTTCCTAGTACTGCCTCCATTTATACTACTATAGGCTGTTTCTCTTTTTAATGTTATTGGATACTGCCAAAATGATCTCCAGTTTTTATGAAAGATTAGTTTTCTCCACACTCTTGCCAACACTTAATATTGTCAGCTTTTGAAACATTTACTAATTTTCTGGGTAAAATATGTTATTATATATAATTTGCATTTGTGTGATTATATCTTTTCAAACGCTGAATATCTCACTTGGATTTCATCTTTCATGAACTGTTTGAAAATATACTTTAAAAATATTTTCTGTTTTTTGCTTTTCTGTTTATCCTTAGAAATTACTCATATATTCTGAATTCTAATTTTGTATCTGTTCAGTCTGTTACAAATATTTGTCTCTCAGTGACCTCACCTTCTTTAACTTTATTTATGCTGCCTTTATGCTAAGAAGTTGTTGGTTTTTTTCTTTAATTCTATGTGGTTCTTGCAGCTTTTGTCAACCATTCTAGTCACTTCCTAGATTCCCAATGCTACTGTAGTTTGTGTGTGTGGGCATGTGGATGAATATATGCAGTCATTTTAATTAGCTGTGGAGAGGATATCTGCAAGTAACTGCAGCTTTCCATATTGAAGTTTTACTACCATTAGCTGAGGCTTTGCCAGGTGCCTGTGAGAAGATGCTAAGAACACTTCGAGTGGAATTTTTCATTATTAAGTCTTGTAGCTCAATGTCATTAACTCCCCAAAATATCTTGAGTTCCAACAGGTAACAAAAAGCCACAGGCAGAACTGATACCTGAACTCTATGACATTTGCCATGTGAGTCTGAAAATGGGATGACAAAACTAAGACATGCCATCTCCTCATTTTCATGCTGAAAAGAAATTAAAGAGAATCTGCACAAGAGTTACATTTTTCAATAATGTTTTACTACTGGAATAAATAAACTATACTTTTTAAAAAATATAACATTTAATTTTTAATTATAAGAGAAATAGATGTTAATTTTAAAATTCGAGAGAATAAAGTTTTATAAAGATAATTAAAATGACCTAAAATCCCACCAGCCAAGACGACCACTGAAGACATTTTTTTTAAACAAAGATATTTTGATAAATATGCTTTAGGTTCTGCTTCTATGTCTGGTTTCTTGGTTTTTTATTTTTTTTACCCCAAAATTTGGCTTATTTAGTGTTTGGGGCTCTCTCCACTATTCCAGCGTGTCTCGCTTGCTATTTGAAAACTTGTTAAAGCATAATAAATTAGAAGCCTTATTCAGGGATGGCAGGGATGAGAAAGGGATATCAGGTTGTTATGGGAACCCGTGGTCTTTAGAGCTATTGGTCAAAAATAGAAGCCTCAGGATGGCAGGATGAAAGATCCTCTCTGGAAGACTAAGAGGTGAAGTGAGTCTCTTGGGGAAAGCAATAGCGTAGGCAGAAAAACAATAAAAAGAAGCACAAGGCACCTTTTACAGAAAGGGGTTCCATTTTTTCTTATGACCGTGGCCACCATCTAGTGGTCAGGCTTGGAAGCGGGATTCAGGCTCCAGATACTGAGCACACGGCCAAAGCCCCATGGTGGAGTTGATGGCGTGACCCTGCCTTTTCTCTCCCGCCTTGTGGGGCATCCTTTACTTCCTGGCACGGAGGTACACTTGCATGGGGTTTTCCTGCCACTCTGGTAGGGAGGCCAGGCTGTCAGCCACCTCCTTCTGGATAGGCCAGCCCCAGGCCTCAAAGAAGGGAACCAGATTCTTCTTCACTTTTTCAGAGAACTTCTTCACCCATAGATTCATCCTGCCAGTGTTGTCTTTGGGGAGGTGAGAGAGGGTCTGGTACTCAGCAAAGAGCTGGGTGAATGGCTCCCACCCGAAGGCCTGTTGGAGCTGAAAAGGGAAAGAAGGAACAGAATGAGGTGTCAAGTTTGCAAAAGTGACGTGACATGTGCGTTCTTAAATATATTTCATTCACATGATCACCTCCCCTCAATCGTTACCTTCATCCTGGGTATGTGCCCCTATCTCCCCACTCTGCCCCTGCACAATAATGCAATCTTGTTGGCTCATTCCTCCTCTTGGCCACAAAACAACACCCCCTGAATCTAGTGGGGGTGCTCAGGGGAAACCTAATGTCTGAATAGAGGTAAATACTCAATAAATGTCCACTATTAGTATCTTTAAACAATTGTCTTCCCAGATCTCAAGTGTTTTCCTCAGCATCAGGACAGGTTTGGGCCTGACTGAGATGAGAAACCCTCACTTCCTACATATCTGGCCTATTGAGATTCTAAAAGCTGCGAACCTCCAATACTATACTTTCCAGACATCATAATAATCCTTATTTTTTAATAGCCATCTTGGACCTGTGGCTATCTGCAATGATACAAAATTGCTCTGTAGAACACTGCATTTAGGGCAGAAAAAGAAAAAAATCCAGCCTGTCTCGAGGGGCTAAAAATGAGAGTGGCTCATACTTCATAAGGGGCAGCTAATGAGAGTGGCTCATACTTCATAAGGGGCAGCTCTCCGGAAAGCCCTTGGCAGAAGGCCCTTGTTTACTAAGATTATACAAATTTCCAGTTAGCGGGGATCTGGGGTTTCACATCCCCACTCTCCCTTTAATAGATGAGCATTCTCTGACTGTAGCTCATAAAAGCCCAAGGACAGATAACACCACCGAAGCCAAGCCTACCTCAGAGTCTCACTGTTGTATCCTTATTATTGCTCATCTGTTCTCACTGGCTTGCTCTTTGACACTTATTAATCAATACATCAATAAATTAAGCATTTATTAAACATTTAACATGTATTAGACACCCACACACCGCCAGCTACTGTGCTAGGCAAACATCATTAAGAGCTCTTGTCCTTCTAGAGAACACTGGCCAAAGGGAGAAACACACGTAAATAAACACATTGCTAAAACTGTTGGTTTATCAAGGAGGCGATGTCCAGGAGAGAAAGGGCCAACAGAGCTGAATTTGGACAGGTGACTTGACAGCTAATGGACAAGATGTTCCAGCATGATTCAGCAGCAGGAAGCAAACAAGGGGAGGCACAGAAGCCAAAACAGCAAGCTGTGTCCGTAACCATAAGCAGGTTGGCATGCCGAAGGGTAAATGTGGAGGTGAGAGCAGTAGGAGATGTAGCTAGAGGTGCTGGTGAGGCTGGTCATGAAGGGCCTCCTATGCCCTGCTAATGAGCTTTGATTTTACCCTATATGTGCTAGAGAACACTGTAAGCATTTGATAGACAGAGTATTAACATTATTTTGGAAGGAGTGTAAGGAAGATGGATCATAGAGGATTGAGGCAAGATGCTGGGACAACTTAGAAGGCTACTGGAATACACTGAGGGAAGACTAACGAGGCCTGAGCTAAGGCAGCAGTGGCACGGATGCTGGGGAGAAGCCCTCTAGCAGGAAGAGGAGTCAGAAGGTGCCTGTTTATCCTGAGGCCAAGTCTCAGACTTGGTCTCTCTAGAGCTATTGAGAACTGATATTCGGGGCTCCACAGTGAGTAGGTAGCAGACTAGGACAGAATTAGGGCTTAAACTTACAGTTTAGGGGCAACCTACCATTGTGGTCAGTGGTCCTGTATACCCCCAGACTGGCTATCTAAGGATATGGAAATGAATGCAATACAAAGTTACCTCATTGACTGGGACTGTCTCACATTCACTCTTCAGAAAATTAGTGAAAGGCACAAAAAACTAAGAGAGGGTATGGCAATGCGAAAGCCTGGGGCTTGTCATTACGTCCTGATTTTAAGTTCTAGGTCCTTCACTTAAATGGGGGCTACTGGAAAGATTGCTTAAATTCTTTAAAATAGTGTGTGCCTCTGTGAAAAGTGGGCCAGACAGCTCCTATCCATAGAGCTGTGGGAGACATTGCAGGAGATCTGAAAGGGGAACAACATTGACAACTTGAAAACATCGACATTCAATGCAGGGCTAGGGGAGGGGGCAGGGATTTGTGTTTATTTCACAGGAAGTAGACTTGCTTTATGAATTCAGTGTTCTACTATTGGGTTGACTGGCTCTTCATTTTAAATCATTTTGGCTTCAAGTGGGGTGATGGATGATGAGACCCTTGTTAGCAGATTTGTCTCCAACAATGCCTTCTTATTGTAATGCAGCTGCATTGCAGACACCCTCCGTTATTATAAAAAAGCATAACTCATTTGACTCATAAAACTCAGGTGAAATAAAACAAAACTAAACAAAGCAATGACCATTTATGGAACACTTATTAGGAGACCAAGAACAAAACCAATGAGGGCAAGAGCTGTGATTCAGCTGCAGGAATGTCTAACAGAGTTTCTGCCCTTGAATAATATGCTATATTTCTATTTTTTTCATAATATTTTTCATTTCCTCTTACATTGCAAAATCAGAAGGTGAGTGAGACAGGTGCCATTCTCTCTGCCTTAGAGGGGTATAACCCAAGAAGCACCACCCTGCGGCCCAGTCTCTCTCATTTCCAGGGGAGGTGGAGGTCCAGGCTGGTGGAGTGGCGAAGGAGGTGGAGAGCTACTGGGATCCAGGTCGCTACATGACTGAGGGGTCTGGTCATCCCCTTCTCCCAGAATTTCTGCTCAGTACCTGTAGATATGTTTCCAGGGCTGTCCATACATTCCAGTCACACAGGGGGGCTCCCTTTCCCAGGTGGGCCTTGATTCTCCTCTCTCGCTCTGGAGGGCTCAGAGCCTCATGGGCCTGAGCCCTGGGGATCCCCAGGACTGTTTCATGCACGTAGACTGACCAAAGGTTACAGGTGGCCTCAGTAGTGTGTGGGGGGAACTCCCATCCATGCCACTGTTGGTTGTGGCCCAGCTCATGGATGGGGCCCCACACACCCCTGCTCCTCATGTCCATCTCATTGATGATCTCCTTCACAGACTCCAGGTGGCACATGATGGGGTATCCTGAATGCATCCAGCCTGGGAACACAGAAGGAAGAGATGAGCATTGAGGAGGGTCCGCCCAAACTATCTCCTTCATTCTTCTCCATTATTGGACGTTTCTTCACCATCCTGGTTATCCCCAATAATTGCAGAATCTCTGTGCTGATTGGAAAGCAAATAGCTTTCCCCTACTTGGTCAGAAACTGAATAGTACCTAATCCCCTTCTTAGTCTCTCACACCTGAGTTGTGGCCTCCTCCTCAATCTGGCCCTGGAGAATTTGGTTATACTTTACATAGTCATTCTTGCTGTAATTCGACACCTTCATTTTGTGTGTGTGAGTGTCCTTTACATGTCAGTCTGAGATATGATGTCCTCTGACTGGATCTGAGATCCTTGAGGGCTAGAACAGTGTCATTCTTTCTTCCCCATGTATACTACTTTTGTCCAAATTTACACTCTATGACAGAGATAATTTTTGTCCTTATTTGAAGGTATGAAAATTGAGGTCCAAAGAACTTTCCCCATTTGGGATCCAGAGTTCCTTATTTCTCTTCCTATGTACCTCTTTCTTTTTAACCACTCAGTACTTACCATAAACCTCCTTACGTATTTCCTCTTTTCATTTTCAACTCTGGCTTATGTTTGAAGAAAATAGTTGATTTTCTATGTTGTCCTTGAAATGACTCTGGTTGCCATCTATGAATTCCCAATACAACGTTTTCTGAGATTGTTTTACCATCCAGTGAAATCTCACCTTGTAGATGTCAATAATTTGTTTTTCACATGTAAACATTCTTTCATCCCCATCATGGTCAATGTCTTTTATATCTTTTTCCCTTGCTTTACTAATAAAATTATGCTTACACATTTTGGACATTCATAAAAGGCAAAGTAATAGATACATGGTTTCCACTGACTAGGAGGATTCCCTGGGAGCACCCACCAGCTGAGATCTGCACATCAGCCACAATCCTCTCAGGACGGCGGAAAGGGAAGGGCTCAGCCGCCAGCCTGGCCACAGCCTGCATCATCTCATCCCAGAGGCGGAGCACAGGCTCGGGGTCCTTCAGGGCCTGAAGGTTTGTGGTTGGCACTGTCAGGATGATGTTGTCCGTGGCCAGCTCTCCCCAGGGAGCCAGGTTCTCCTGCATCTGCCTCTTCCACTCCTCCAGCGATGTCTTACCTGGGAATAAATATCATGGAACCTACCACACCCACTTCTCCAACTTCCCTTGAGCTGAAAAATACCATTTGAACTCTGGAAGAACATTGCAATAATGAACTACTATCACAGGCGTCTATAGGCTGTAAAGTGAAGAAAAGGCTTCCTGACTCTTCTCTTTGTCTGCCCTGAAGTCTCCATGGACACAGGGTATTCCGTATCTTCTGCCTCCATGTTCCCTCCCAACAGTTCTTCCTCTTTCTCTCCACCAAAGCTCATCCCTCTCCCATTTAGCAACCACCCCACAGTTCCCACGGCATCTGCCACTCTTCCTCCTCCCTAAATGTTCACTCCACTTACCCAGCTTGTAGTATGGGGCAGGCACAGCTCCCCTGATAGTGACAGGCACAGGGCCTAGTTGGCTGCCCTTGGGCACGATGACGTAGAGGAGGCCGCCCCAGAGGCAGGAGACTGACCGCTCAGTCCTGTCCATCCAGCATTGGTGAGTCACCACGGGGGCTCGAGATAGCTTCCTGGCCTTGGTAAGGTCATCGGTGTGGCAGCCAATCTGTACCTGGACAGGTGATTCCACCAAGCGTTGGAGAAATTAGAGTCTTTGTGATGCTTTGTGATGTGCGTGTGAGGTTGTGTAGATGGAAGGTATTAGACAAACATGCCCATGAAACCCCAGCTTCCCTTTTCTATGTGCTAGGCATGGAAACTTATGAAATTTTAGCACTCCAAAGTCATTTGGACTTCAAGGCATTTAAAATCATTTTTCTAAGGATTTAAACAGCTCCACTATAAGTCTTCACCTGACATGAATTGGTGAGAGACCAGGCTGATCCTGGCAAAGGTCTTGTGTCTTTCTGCCAGGCAAAATCCTGGGTTCTTCTAGCAGGACCTAAGCCAGTCTGGGGACGCTGATATTGAGGATGAGCTGGGGGACTCTGCTCTGTCCTCTGTGAACACACAGGAGGCCCATCCAGAGTGAGTGAGGTTGATTCTCTCTCCCTCTTTGCCCAGAGCTTCCCTTTCTGGCCGCCAGATGGGTGGAGATCTGTTTTGTCTGGAGTCCTGGAGTTGCTTTTCTTAGGTTTGATATAAGCAAGCTCCAGAAAGAATGCTGACAGAAAAGGGACCCTAGCTGTGGTAGGAAGTGGCCCTCAGAGTCAAGGAGGCAGGATGAATTTAAATTCTGCATGTAGGGCATATTTTGGGGAGTGATGGGATTATGCACACCCTTCAGGTGTCAAGATAAAGAGATAAAACCAGAGTTTGTGCAGAATGAGCTTGCTGACACACAGCCTAAATTTGTACCGCATGTTTCATACTAACTCCCTCTGAGTTTGCACATGGGACCCATGAGGAGGCATGAAGAGGTAACTGCCCATGCCCGAGGATTTTCCAGCCCTTCCTTTTCTTTCTATCAATCACCTACTAATCACAGAATCCACTCCCTACACCTTTTCTACTAAAATAACTCTTTAAAATAAGTACAATGGGACAGATTTGAGCTGGGCTCCTGTCTCCTTGTTAATCAAATTGCAATAAAATGTTTTCTTTTGTTTTTGTTTTTGTTTTTTTTTTGGTGAAAAACTCAAGTGTCATAGTTTTGGCTTCTAGTCCATTCTGCAGTGAGCTTCTCTTGCTTGATAACACTAGGCACTTCAGTCACTCACTTAGATGCCCTGAAATTTAGCTGCTTCATCTGTAAAATCTGTAAAATGGGCAGAATAATCCATCTCTGTACTCCTGGCAGCATTGCCATGAGCTGGAACTAGACAGTGGATGAGAATGACACAGCTCTACGGTTTTGAGAGGTGGCAGATGTGGGTGTTCAGACCTTACCCTCAGGCCAGCAGAGGCAGCAGCTTCAGACAGTGAGACTTCTGCATTTTGTCCTTCCAGGAGGTAGAGCCCGGTACTCACCCAGCAATCATTGTTGCCTGACAAAAGTCAC
Source organism: Homo sapiens (assembly GCF_000001405.40). NCBI lineage: Eukaryota > Metazoa > Chordata > Mammalia > Primates > Hominidae > Homo > Homo sapiens. The sequence goes on along the minus strand of NC_000007.14, from coordinate 143,811,574 downwards.
AGAGAAGGCTCAGTTCTTCCTTCCTATGTGAGTATATCTCCACTTGGGGCCTCCCAGCCCCTCCCAGTGGTACAGCTTCTCCCCTGTGTATCTCAAGTCATCCATACTTCTTAGACTCATCCCCTCTAAACCTTAAGCAGTGTCCCAATCCCCATCTTCTTGAAAGTACCTGATGAAGAATGGAGTCAGCTGGGCCCAGTGGCTCACGACTGTAATCCCAGCACTTTGGGAGGCCAAGGCAGGTGGATCACCTGAGGTCAGGAGTTCCGGACCAGCCTTACCTTTACGGTGAAACTCCCTCTCTACTAAAAATACAAAAATTAGCCAGGCATGGTGGCGTGTGCCTGTAGTCCCAGCAACACAGGAGGCTGAGAGAGGAGAATTGCTTAAACCCAGGAGGTGGAGGTTGCATGAGCTGAGATCGCGCTACTGCATTCCAACCTGGATGACAGAGTGAGACTCTGTCTCAAAAAAAAAAAAGAATGGGGTCAATCTTCCTGAGGGTAGGTACCTGCAATGTCCTGTGTAGTGTCAGCCAATCCCACTTTCCCCTACATCTTTAATGTTCTGGGCACTCTCTCCTGTTTTCATACCTGGGTTGATTCCATTGATCTCCACGGTGATGGGGTGTTTTGAGGGGTACAAACTGGAGGAGCAGGTCCAGGTGCCAAGCCCCTGGGCCAGCTGGGAGCAGTCAGTTCCAGAGTGAGCCAGCCCAGTGGCCAGGGAGAGCACCGCAGCCTCATAGGAGTCACTGGCAACTGGATTTTCCCGGCTCACAGCTGGGAGGCCAGACCCTCGTAGCATCTTCCTCAGGAGCCTGTGCAGGGATATGTAAGCAGGGACCCCCTCCGCAGGAATCTGTAGGAAGGCTGCACCATCAACTCTCAACTTTGCCAGACAGCTCTTTTCCAAGTTCCCATTCTCGTGGTTCAGTATAGCCTGGAATTGAGAGAGCGCCTTGCGGAAGTGGTAGCTTCTCATCTCAGGGGTGGGAACGGGGAAGCAGCCTGCTTTGAGAGTCTGAGGCAGGATGCTGAGGCCAAAGCAGTTGAGGATGATGTTACCAGGGAAGCCAGCCAAGGGGCAGTGGCCAGGGTTCTGGGAGGCCCACCACCAGGCCTGGCCCCCAATCAGCAGCCCCCCACCCTCAGCCACAAACTCCTGCAGCTGCTTAGCCTCCTTGTCACTGTATGCCTTGCAGCAGTAGACACACAAGTCGCTGTTCAGATGGGGCTCCAGGCTGCATTGCAGGCCATGCTCCGATAGGAGAGGACACAGATCTTTTAGATTTGTGTTCACCCCAACTTTGCCTGTCTGGCCTCTGGCCAGCCAGCGCACCGCATTGAGCAAGAAGGGCCCCATCTTGGGAGCACAGAGCAGGCACTCGTGGGCAGCCAGGACCACCCGGCCCCGGCCATAGTGAGCAGCCGCCAGGAAGCAGTTGAGTGAGGCATCCAGCCCCAGAGGGAAGGCCAGGGCTCCATGTACAAGCAGCTGTGAGGGGACTCTCCCTGTCCTGATGTCCAGCTCTGAGATCCCCTCCAGGAGCTGCTGCTGGTCCTGCCTGACATCCTCCCCATACCTGGAAGAGACAGGAGAAACAATGAGGCTACAGTCAGTTAATGAGCCACTGAATCGAACTCATTGAGTAGAGAAATCTATGTGCAGGTAAGAAGATTGCACGGTTCATGTCAATCTTCACATTCTTACTAATATTAGGATTTTAGCATGCTAATATCATTTATTTTTATCATGTTTAAGGCATATTTTTTCACTGTTTTTACAACTGATGGCATATTATCATTTAATTGGCAACGTTTAGTCTTTCTTTCTTTCTTTTCTTTCTTTCTTTCTTTTTTTATTTGAGATGGAGTTTCGCTCTGTCGCCAGGCTAGAGTGCAGTGGCACAATCTCGGCTCACTGCAACCTCCACCTACCGGGTTCAAGCAATTCTACTGCCTCAGCCTCCCGAGAAGCTGGGACTACAGGTGCGTGCCACCACACCCAGCTAATTTTTGTATTTTTAGTAGAGACGGGGTTTCACCATGCTGGCCAGGATGGTCTGGATCTCTTGACCTTGTGATCCGCCAGCCTCAGCCTCCCAAAGTGCTGGGACTACAGGTGTAAGCCACCATGCCCGGCCTGGTCTTTCTTAGTGATACATAAAATAATGGCATTTCTCACAATCAATTTGTCATAGATTTGAGGAAACGCTATAGAGGTAGTGCCCTTACTTGCATATCTTAAAATCCACATTTTCTAAATGAACACCTCCAGGAATTCCTCCCATTTAGTCAACTATGTGTTGAATATTTTGGCTTCAGTTTCTTGACTTTTAAAATAATTAAACATATAAACAAGTTAGAAAAACTAGTTTATTATGCCCAGAGAATGTGGTACTGCTTATGAATTTCTCGATCTAACTTTCTGCAAAGGAAGGCTGTAAAAACACCAAATCTGGACTCTCCGTAGGGTAGTTCTGATCTAGGAACACATCACAATTAAATTGTTTAACACTACGCTTGAAGATTTATACAAACACACACTGTTTTTAAAACTTCACTTAGATCTGGTTAGAGTATTCACTTCTTCTTCTTAAGGAATGGTCAAAATGTAATGAATCAAGAAAAGGCTTTGTATTTCAAGAATTTTTTTAAAACAATTTGTATATACTGTAAATGTCAAGCAATAGGAGGTTGGTTAAATAAATTATGGTTAACAATAGATTGCAAACCATATAGTGATTAAAATAATTATTAGGTAACTTGAAAAATGCTTAATGGAAAAAGTTTTAAAATTAGATTCCAGGATACCATGCTCTAAATAAGCCAAATTTTGGGGTAAAAAAAATAAAAAACCATGAAACCAGACATAGAAGCAGAACCTAAAGCATATTTATCAAAATATCTTTGTTTAAAAAAAATGTCTTCAGTGGTCGTCTTGGCTGGTGGGATTTTAGGTCATTTTAATTATCTTTATAAAACTTTATTCTCTCGAATTTTAAAATTAACATCTATTTCTCTTATAATTAAAAATTAAATGTTATATTTTTTAAAAAGTATAGTTTATTTATTCCAGTAGTAAAACATTATTGAAAAATGTAACTCTTGTGCAGATTCTCTTTAATTTCTTTTCAGCATGAAAATGAGGAGATGGCATGTCTTAGTTTTGTCATCCCATTTTCAGACTCACATGGCAAATGTCATAGAGTTCAGGTATCAGTTCTGCCTGTGGCTTTTTGTTACCTGTTGGAACTCAAGATATTTTGGGGAGTTAATGACATTGAGCTACAAGACTTAATAATGAAAAATTCCACTCGAAGTGTTCTTAGCATCTTCTCACAGGCACCTGGCAAAGCCTCAGCTAATGGTAGTAAAACTTCAATATGGAAAGCTGCAGTTACTTGCAGATATCCTCTCCACAGCTAATTAAAATGACTGCATATATTCATCCACATGCCCACACACACAAACTACAGTAGCATTGGGAATCTAGGAAGTGACTAGAATGGTTGACAAAAGCTGCAAGAACCACATAGAATTAAAGAAAAAAACCAACAACTTCTTAGCATAAAGGCAGCATAAATAAAGTTAAAGAAGGTGAGGTCACTGAGAGACAAATATTTGTAACAGACTGAACAGATACAAAATTAGAATTCAGAATATATGAGTAATTTCTAAGGATAAACAGAAAAGCAAAAAACAGAAAATATTTTTAAAGTATATTCTCAAACAGTTCATGAAAGATGAGATGGAGTTTCGCTCTGTCGCCAGGCTAGAGTGCAGTGGCACAATCTCAGCTCACTGCAACCTCCACCTACCGGGTTCAAGCAATTCTACTGCCTCAGCCTCCCGAGAAGCTGGGACTACAGGTGCTCCAAGGTGCTTGAGTTTGGAAACATGAGACAAAACCAGAAACAGAGACCCTGGGAGAGTCTGTGGTCTCCATTTTTCCGCTGAGCAAACCACAGGCTTGTGTTCTGCCTATCTCCCACTTCGCACATGTACAGCATTGTAGAATATTTACATGGATAAGGATTCTATGATATAGTAGAGTGACTTCCCCTATTGATAACAAACAATTATGTCAGTCCCTACACAACTCTTATGCTAAAGGTAATGGGGAGGGTTGAATGGTACTCATTTGGGCAGCTTTTTTTTGGCTATGTATACTTTCAGAAAGAATTTACCTCACCTAGATCACATGACTAAAATATCGGAATATTAATACCCACTGTGTCTAATTGGCAGATTGTTTTGAGATTTTAAATGAGATCTATTCATGAAAACATTTTGTTAATCTTAAAGCACCACACCAATATCACCTATTATATTGTACAGCCATGATCAACACAATTTCCAATCTAGAAGTCCCTCTCAACTTTTCCTGGGACTGAGCTTTCAGGACTTAGAGTTCCTTCTCCTTCTCATTCTTTTTCTGCGCATAGTCTCCCGGTAAAGTGAAAACCAGCTGAGAAAAGATTCGGGCTGGACAGGCCTCCGTGGCGATTAAGAGTCACGAATGTGATGATATTATTCGCAAACAGCAGTGTAGTCATGGTTCAGAATTTTGGAAACAGTGCCAGGAGGATCTTGGACATAATTTTCAGGGTGTATAAGCCCTGCACTAAAGTAAAGTTTACCAGTGCCAAGAGTTTGACGTTTTCTTCTTCATGTTTTCTTTGGCTGGAGCCTGGCTTTAGTTGAAGAGTTCTGTCAACAAATGGAATTCTCTATTTGGGACTGGGATTCTTGATTGGTGGTACTTCTGTCTCCTCTTGCTGTGAGTTTCCTCAAACTTAGAGTCCTGTGGGATCTGTGTTTGAACAGAGACTGGAAATGCTTACCTCATCTCCACATTTCTTAGCCATTTGTCACCAGACTGTAGATTGACTGGTGGGATGCCTGTTTCTAGAGAGAAAAGATACTGCTTTTCTCTGACTCCAGCTGAGAAGAGGTTGGTTAAATTACGAATCTGATGACTATCTATGAACCTAAGGAGGAAAAGTTAATTTCTTTTGAGGGTTTGCATAATGTTTTAAAACAAATTTATAGAAATATAGATGATGGAAAAAAGCAATAGGGTAAACCTAAATTATTAAAAATAAATAATACATAGGAAATAAACAGCATAGAAAAGAAACAAAAAAGAGATTGTTACCAAAAACCATAAGTTTTTTTTTTTTTGAAAATTCTAAGAAGGTGGATAAATTTCTGGAATTTTCAATGAGCAAAAAAGTGAAAAGATACAAATGAATAAAAAATGAAAAGGTAGAAATTAAAATAGGTCTAGTAGAGATTAAAAATAATAAAAGAATATTATTAAAAAGTATTGGTGGATAAAATAGGCACATATCTGAAGATAAAAGCCGAATTGACCCCCTAAAAAGCAGAAAACTTACAATAACAATCATTAATGGCTTTGAATGGCTATGAAAAAATAATATCTCTGCCCTCTTCACTACTCCCATGTAAAATAATTTTACGGGTAGATTTTACCAACGTTTCAAGAGAGACATGATTCCCAAATATTATGTAAGTTTTTTCAGAAAATGAAAAAAAAGAAAACATTAACAACTCATTTTATAAAATTTGCATAATTTAGAAAATGCATACACTAATTTTATAGATAAAAGCATTTAAAAATATTATCCAAGTTCAACATTTTAAAAAGCAACACATTTTTACAATTTTCTCAGGAATAGAAAGATAGTTCAACTCCAGAAAATCTAAAACAGAGTCATCTCAATATACATGAAAAAAAGATGAAAATTATTAGAAAGCTAGAAATACACAGGAATTTTATAATCTAATAAACCCTATGTACAAATATTCCACAACAAATTTCATGTTTAATGGATAAATCTGAGGCACTTATTTTCAAGTCAGGAACTAGATATATATGCTTTGTATAAGTGATACCTGTCAGCACAGTGTGCTAACAATTTTAGTCAATACAGTGAAAAAGAAAATAATTGTTATAAATAATACATTGTAATTATTTGCTGATGATATGATCATTTACATTTAAAATGCAAGAGTATTAATGGCAAACTAGTCACACCAATAAGAAAGTTCAGCAAAATTTTCTAACATAAGATCAACATATAAAAGTAAATAAGTTTTCTCTATATCAACAATATTATATTAGAAACCATAATAAAAAGAAGCAACACACTCATAAAATATATAGAAATGAATTTTTTTAATGCATAGGATTTATAAAAAAATTATAAAGCCCTAGTAAAGCACAAGAAAGAAAGTTCAAATAAATGGAGAAATACACTATGTTCATGAATGGGGAGACTTTATCTTGTAAATACATCGGTTTTTCTAAGTTTGGAATATATTTAATGCATTTCCAATAATAATTACAAGAAGAATCATGGGAAAAATTCCATATTGATTTAAAATATATAGAGAGAAATAAAGGTCCTAAAATAGTTAACACAGATTTTAACTTTTGAATTAAGGTGGAGAGAAGAAAGGATGACTAATCCTTCTAGATATTAACAAATACTGCAGAGCAACAATTAGTAAAATACATTCATTTTTGTATAAGAATAAGTAGATATACAGTACAAGATCGACAGTCCAGAAACAGACTGATATCTCTACATGAACTTGGTAAATGATGGTGATGGCATCGTAAATCAGCGGAAAATGTTTTAAGTTTAAAATAAATGTTCTATGGAAAGTAGGCTAATTATATGAGAAATAATCAGTTAAATGCTCCAGATATACCAAGAAGATATAAAATACATAGGACTTTTCAAGAGAAATTGATGGATTTGACTATAAAAATAAATAGTTTGGCTAACACAGGACAGCATAAGTCAAAATAATAGTCCAGGAAGTGATATTTACATCATTAATGACAAAAATTCTAGAGCTATATAAGGAAAATCACTAATTAATTTAAAAATTAGACACAGGATGCAATTAAACTGTTTAACAAGAGGAATTTGAACGGACAAGTCTTTGAAGAGAGTCTTCTCAGCATTGCTTTTAGGTAGAGAGTAGCATTTAAATTACCATGCAATCTCTTTCTTCTTCATTTTAACCACGTCTTACCATTAGACTTTCAGGATCAAGCTATCTGTTGCTAAGAAACAAAAGCAAAATTGCCTTTTTCTCAACAGATTTAAGTGAAAATCAGTAGTCAGTTCAGGTGTGACTCTAAGAAGACACATTGGAGAGTATGCTGGGCTTACATGAAGCTAGCTACGTGTGTTGGCTCACACATCTATCTTGCATTGGTTCCACGTTCCTTCTCATGATCCTCTGAGCAGAAATATTTTTCACAGTTATTAGTTACAATTTGCTGGAAATTGCAACCCATTGGAGTTTTTTTCCCTTGTTTTCTTAAATTCACTAATAAACATATGTGACACTTTTTGAACTATTTACCAAACGTGACTTTGAGGCTACATTACCAACTTCAGCCAGGTGGTTTAACACATTTGAGCATCACACTTGGTGCTTAAAAGGTGCTAAGTAAAATATTAAATGAATCCAGCAGGAACAAATGAGAAACCCATTTATAATCATTGCATTGGCAAAAATTAAAATGCTGGAAAGCGTAAGTGTTGGTGAGGTTGTAGAGAAACAAGAACTCTTCTCTACTGAGAGTGGAGGGATAAATTAATGTTGTTATTCTGGAGAATAATTTAATAATACTAGTGAAATTACATATATTCATATTCTATGGCTTTGCAGTTTCATTACTGAGTATACACCCCTCAGTTACTCTTCTGGAGATATATTAAAGATAAGTTCTCAGAAGTTTACTTACTGCAGCACAGTTTGAACCAACAAAGAGTTGGAAATAACTCGAATGCCCATTAGTGAGAAATGAATAATCAAAATGTGAAATATGCAAGTAGTGGAGTACCATGCAGTAGTTAGAAGTAATAAACTACATTTAAGTACATCTACATTAATAAATCTCAAAAATATGATGATAAGTAAAACAAGTTAGAAGAAGAAATGTAGCAAAATGCCAAGTATGTTAAAAACACAAGAGTGAGTACCTGCATGTAATGTTATTATAATACTACCAAATATAAGGATATAAAAAGAGCAATCCTGCATCACTGATAATATTCTACTATAAGCTGATTGTTGTAAAGTTAGTTTTTTTGCCTCTAAAATAAAAATAAAATTTGCAGTAACCTTCAAAATTAGTAAATAAAATTAAAAAATAGAACTATTAGGAGCTACAAACGATTTGGGTCAGTGTGAGTCTCATGTATATAATTTCCATTCACATTTAGTGTGCTGCACATTTTCTTACATCAATTCATTCATTCTGTGAATTCATTCATTCTATGAATTCATTCTATCAATTCATTTATTGCTTATTGATAACTAATACCATTCATAATTCATAATTGCTTATTGATAACTAATACCATTCTAATGATTGTTCCTTCTCTTATTATCCATTTTTCTCATTTGAGGTCTATGGTATCACGAGTTGATATCAGAAAGTCTTGTTACCATTGTCTATAAATTTCTAAGATTACTTTTACCATCTTTGATGATTTCTGGTAATAAAGGCTGGGCAATATAGGGATGCAGACAATATTTTTGATCTACTTGCAGTCACATAATCAGTTTCCTAAATGAAGTAATACTTCATTTATGGAAACTTGTTGTCAATTTTCCTGTCCATCTGTCTTCTGGTACATTTTCAGTGACTTCAGCATTTATGTTATAATATGCTAACCATGCTTCCCATTCTTTACTATTTCTATTCCTCTGCTTAGCTAGTAGCAAGGAGATCCTTAAGCCCCATGACCAATTGTCACTAATCCTCTAAGATATCTCCTGAACCTTTTAACTATAAACCCTTGTTTATATAGTAAGACTGCCCATTTATTATAATTTCAGCCACTCCATTAGCTTTGCTTCTGATCAGACACTTAGCAACTTTTTTGATTACCAGTGCCTGGCCAAAGTTCACGTGGGTTCCTATACATGCTTAATAATTGTCTGCTCAGTTGCTGATGAAATCTCTATATCTCTGCCAATCAACCTTCTGCTTTTCTCAAGCCTAATCCTGCTCACTTTATTCTCAGACAGATGTTTTTTATTTATTATTACTGCTCCTGCTCCTTCTCCCTCTACCACTACCACTACCACTACAATAGCTTAGGAAAGCTCCTGGAACATAGTAAACACTCAGTAAATGTTCACTGCTGTTCTTATCAATGCTACTACACTACTGTTAAGTCTCCTAGGACCACCACATGGTGAACATTTATTATATGTCAAGCCTTGTGCCAAGTATTTTACACGTATCATCTCATATAATTTAATATATTTTTACTGAGAACATTGAAACCATTCAAAAAGTAATCTCTAGCTTTTTTCAAAATTGATTTCCTTATAAAGTAACACCTTTTAATCTCACAAAAGAGGTCTGCTCACCCTGTCCAAGACCAACACCTTGACATGTATTTTCATCCTCTGTCTTTTCTGTCACTTCCAAGGCCCTGTTTTGTTGCCTTCTGACTTCTAGATTCTTCAGTCTCTTCCACTGGCTCCTTTTTTGGCCTTTCAATATGCCTACGTCTAATTTGTCTTGAAAACCCCCAGGTCTGAATGTTTTTCTGTAAAAGATTCTTTCATATTTTTCTCCTGCCTATCATTGTGCTTATCGTTAGGCATGTTATCTACGCCTTCTTCTTGACTGAATTACATGCACTTGGAATCCATTTCTATTCTTTCTGAACTAATCATTGGTAATAATTTCCTAGTTATCAAAGTCTTCTTCTAGCTACTTAATCTCTATAGGTTTTTCTAATGCATTTTGCCCCTTTGATCACTGTATCCTTGAATCTCTTTCTTCTTTGGCTTTTATGATAGGAGAAGTTCATTTCTATTACATGCTCCCCTGCCTCTTTAAGGCCAGACGTTGTGTATCATGAGGCACCATCTGAAGGATCTTGGAAGTAGACCATGCACAGAAGGTTCGGAATGGGGCAGCAGTGGAGTCAGGATTTACATTGTCAGAAAGAGTCAAAAGGACACAAGAAGGCAGAGAAAAGCAGAAGATTTGTTTTCCTGGCATCAATTAATAACAAAGATTTTAAGAGAAATATTATTAATATTAGTCAAAGAGTTGACAAAAACTGATGGATAGCTGAGATACCTGCACTAGTTTTAGGTGAAATATTATGAAGATCTGGGCAGAGTTGGCCAAAGAGTTTTGGCTAGTTCAAAAACTGATGGAGCTGGAGCAAGGAAGGGCAGCAGATGTGCAGGTGGGCAGTTGGGTGGGCTGACAGGGAGGGAGATAGGTTGGTGGACAGAAGAACAGATAGAAAACAGGAAAAAAAGGCCAGGCACGGTGGCTCATGCCTGTAATCCCAGCACTTTGGGATGCTGTGGTGGGTGGATCACATGAAGTCAGGAGTTTGAGACCAGCTTGGCCAACATGGTTAAACCCCGTTTTTACTAAAGATACAAAGATCAGCTGGGCATGGTGTTGTGTGCCTGTAGTCTCAGCTACTCAGGAGGCTGAGGCACGAGAATTGCTTGAATCTGGGAGGCAGACATTGCAGTGAGCCAAGATTGTACCACTGCACACCAGCGTGGGTGACAGAGCAAGACTCTGTCTCAAAACAAAAATAAAAAACAAACAAACAAAAACAGGAAAAAAGATAAAGCGAAAGAGACCTAGCTCCATTTACTTACCTTCTCTTGATGGAAGTTACTCCTTGGTTGTTTTTGCTCAGAGGCCTGGGGGTAGTGAAAGCAGGCTGGGTGACTGTGGGATTAAGTGAGGAGCTGGGTTGAGCTGACCACTGGCAGTGAAATGAGTAGAACCTCATAGGGGTACAGAGCTGATGGGAAAAGCACTTGGGCCATCATCATCCTCCCGGTTTAATAAACATCGGTCACCTATACATTTTTAGAGCTTTTTATTATAGACATTTTCAAACATATACAAACATAGTATACTGAGCTGAGCCCTCATGTATTTATTATCCAATTCAATACCTATCAACATTTTTTCAGTTATGTTTAATCTGTGTTTGCTCCACTGCCCTTTGGTGTTTTTATTTTTGCTGCAATGTTTTAAGACAAATCCAAAGTATCCTATTATTTCACCCACAAATAATTTAGTACCCACACTTGTTTTATATTGAAGCACTGTATGTTTTTAAAAGAAGCAGTAGCTGAAAGCCCAGAGGGCTCTGGAAGTGGATAGAGTAGGGACTTTGGTACTAGTGCTTTTGGTTTCCTTTAAGTTTTGTGGCTTTGAGATGCCCAAGGACTAGACCTTATTCCTTAAATTAAAGCAGGGTTTTCATTTCTTAGGCAGTCAGCTTGCTCTTTAAAACTGAAATTTTTATTTTGGGTAAAAAGGACTTTGCCATTTGAATGTCTGTAATAGGTAGCCACAGAACCATTATTATAATCAATGTAAATTCTAACTCTGAGAGATAAATAAGTACTAGAGAAAAATAGACTAACCTACTAGGAGAGATATGAAAAGACATAAAACAGAATTAACAATGTAGTACTACATAGAGTGCCTCAAATTAGCAATACAAAAAATAGGTGTGCTCAATGACAGCAAGCCAACTATATAAATTGGAAATTGGGATATGTAATTCAGGAAAAGATTTGTTTTCTAATGTGCAACTTATTACAATCAGTGATGGATGCACCAAGCTTAATTGTGGTAATTACTTCACTTTATATGTACATAAAATTGTCACATTGTACAGCTTAAACTTATACATTTTTTTGTCAATTGTAACTCAATAAAAAATTTTTAAATAAAAATAAATCTCTCAAAATAAAAAGTTCATTTCATGCTATGTTTTAATCATCTTTATTAAGAAGGGCAAATTACATAAAACCAGGACCATGTAGAAAAACTGGGACATGTGGTCCACACTGCTGTGAGTTGAATTTGGGACACTTTATGCCTCGGGTGGTCAGAGAAGGGTGGTGTCAAACTTAAAGGTAGGACTTAGTTCAATTTACTTAGCAACCAATGTAAAGACAGGAATGATTTGTGTAAGGTAGTAGCAGAAGCTAAGTTTAGAAAGGGACAAGGAGGTGAAGGGGTGAATATCTTAAACCGTTTTGTGGAATGTTAATGCCAAGCGAATATTCCTAAGTTTTCACTGAAGAAAGTGTTCTGTGGTCCAACACATTTTGAAAACGTTGGCTTAAGAAAACTTCCAATGTCTTGATAATATATTCAGTTTCTTAGTGAATGTGCATGTACATGGAGAAGTGGTGATAGCAGGTAGCATTTCTTTCCTTTTCTTTTTTTTAAATGAAGCTTCTATTAATATTCAGGGAGTCTAGTGTTTCTCAGCACATGGTTTAGGAAACAGCATGTTAAGAAATTGAGAGCTTATCCTAAAGGATGTGCAGAACCACAGAAAGCTTTTCAGTGAGAGATGAAGTGGCATGTTACCAAGATTAATTTGGTGTAGCTTTCAGATGAAATGAAAAGGGAGAAAATGAACACAAGGAGAAGACTATGGTAATAGTTCAAGGGTGAAGTGATGAGGACCTGAATTGGAGCAGTGGGTGCGTGACCGGAAAGAAGAAGAAACATATGGGAGGCAACACAAAGGAAGGATCTTCAGCTTCAATAGATAACTGAATGTGATGGGTGAGGGCGAGGCAGGAGTCAAATGTTATTCTGAGGTGTTGAGTCAAGGAAACACTTGAGACCATTGATGGAAATGGACCCATACACATAGACAGTGCTAGTGAGCTATAAGGGATGCTGAGCTTCATGTGGCTGTGGAGGTGATTATGTACAAGAGCTGCTAATGTAGGTACAAAAGTTGAGGTGAGAGTCAAGGCGGGGCATATCAGCTTGGGAATTTGTATAGCTGCGCTTTGGGTGGTGGAGGGCTGGTATGAAGAGTGTGCAAACCTTATGGGCAGATTGGAGTTACAAAAGAATACAGTGTGTGTAGTCAGAAGACTTGATTTCTAGTTTTATCTCTGTCAGTAATTCTTTGTAGTTGTGGTCAAATTATTTATCTTGCCTGAACCTCCTTATATATTTAGGAACAATAAAAATGCCTGCCTCAAAGGATTGTTGTCAAGGTTGAATTTCGTAATGTCTGTGGAGTTGCTTTGTAAATTGTAAAGGGCTGTACCAGTTTTAGTTCTACTATGAGGGATAAATCAATAGAGGTGCAAACCTAAAATATAAATGTCAGATCCAGAGTTTAGTCCCAGAGTAAGGAGGCAGTGAGTAAAAAATCACTCTAGTTCATGCCAACAGACATGCCAGAATCCATGGAGCTGAACTACTATGGAGGAGGGAAGGAAGGGTCAAAGTGGCAAGTGGTTTGTAACAAGGACTTCTGAGAGCAATTATTAGGGATCTACTCATTGGGAATCTGAGGCATGAGGCCGTGGGCCACAGGTTGCTCAAAATGAGGTAAGAAATCCAAATCAGTAGGTCTGGGGCGGAAGACAAAGACATAAATTCCTGAGGCTTAGAATGCCAAGAGCAGAACAGAAACAAAAGCAAGCCTCCTGTCAAGGCTAAGCAGGTGAATACACAGCAAGAATTAGCCACAGAATTGGGAGCAGAGCATATTTCAGGAAGTCCTTAATTAATATAAAACACAATTATTTTATAATCAATGCTAGCACTTAGTGTGTGGGTCAGGAATTATTTAATACAAGCTGTTCTTACAGCAACTTACAATGACTAAATCACTTATTCCTCTAACAACCCCGTTATCGTTAGCATTTTTCAGACGAAGAAACTCAAACCCAGAAAAGCAAAGTAATTTGCCCAAGCTTACATAACTAGTAAGCAGCAGAGCCAGGACTTGCAGGCAGTGTCATTGGCCTCAGAGTCCAGCCCCTGTACTGCTATGCTGCAGTTGCCAGCGTTGAGAAGTGGCTAGAAAATGCAGGTCACCCATCCCATCATCCACACTCCCATGGTTTGGGGGTGGTTATTTGTTAACCTCTGTTCTCTCTATCTCTATACTCCTGATACCCTTTTATGCCACTGATCAGTGTATTCGTTATCACTGAGTATTACTCCTAACACAAAGGATGGCTTACTTTTCTTATTCTATTGGAATTAGACTTTTCCTCTATTATGGAGGCAGTATGATAGACAAATGTAGGGTGTACTTCAGGTTCAGAGAAGGTTGGATTTGAGTACTGGTTCTACTCCCTGGTGGCTGTGAACCCTTGGCTTTGTTACTTCAATCCTCTAAGCCCAAGTTCTGTCATCTGTTGCGATAAGCTAGTGTTGTACATGAGGAGTCTATGCACAGGCTTTGGAACTAGACACTTTGAGTCCTGGCTTGGCCATTTATTAGCTATGGGAGTTTGGGCAAATTTGAACTTTTCTGTTTTTCAGTATCCCCATCTATAAAATAGGATAATAGCAATTATACCTCCACCAGAGAGTTGTTGTGAAGATTTAATGGAATATTGGCATAATGCCTGAGACACGGTGAGTGCTCAACCAATCTTCTCTACAATTTATTTTTATAGGGTTATGAATTTATAACACAGCTTATATAGGGCTATAATTCTGTGCAGTGGTGAGTACAATGCAAGGCACAGAGCAGGTCTAAACACCATGTGTTATTATTATCTTCTTCTTCCTCTTCTTTTTTTTTTTTTGAGACACAGTCTCACTATGTCACCCAGGCTGTGCAGTGCAGTGGCATGATCACAGCTCACTGTAGCCTCAATGTCCCAGGCTCAAGCAGTCCTCCTGCCTCAGTCTCCCCAGTAGCTGGGCCCACAGGCATGTCACCGTGCCTGGCTATTTTTTTTTTTTTCAAGTTTTGATGAAAGCTTGTATACAAGATTCCTTTATTCCTTTATCCAATTGTTTCTTCCTTGTATTTGCCCCTTTCCCTTCCTACTTGCTAAGATTTGGCTTTCCGTTCAAGAATCTTTTTGCAGTCTTTGTCCAGTTTTAGCCTAGTGCTAACCACCTTGCTGGGGTGAATGCCTATGTGGACAGTTGTGCCATTAGCCTTTTCCTGCTGCACCTGTGCAATGTAGGTGACATATTTCTTCCTGTAAACCTGGACTACTTTGCCAATTTGCTGACCTTTGTAGTGCCTGTGTACAACCTGAACTTCATCATCCTTTCGGATGGTCATGGATTGAACATTGTACTTCTGTCTCAGCTCTTTGCAAAGAGAGGAAGACCTAATATTTCTGAGAATGTGGGAAAGTGCATTGAAATGCCTTTTGTGGTACTTGCTTCGATCAGAAGTCACAAAGGGATTGAACTCCACTTTGGCCACTGCCGCTTTGGTGATGGCCACAAAAGGGAAGAGCTATTTTTTTATTTTTTATTTTTATGTAGAGACAAGGGTCTCCCTATGTTGCCCAGGCTGGTCTTGAACTCCTGGGCTCAAGTGATCCTCCCGCCTTGACCTCCCAGAGTGTTGAGACTACAGGCGTGAGCCACCGTGCCCGGCCTATTATCTTCTTATTTATCTTGACACACAGAACGACAGCAGTCTGCAGTCTGCATTCTTCCCCCTGATGGCCGATCCTCTGCATCCATCCTCAGGATCAATCTTCAGGGTTATGTCTCTTAAATTAAAAGACTGCTATGTATGCTTGAATCTAAAATTCAATCTTGTTACTGATTCCAAGATACTTAGAGAAAGTTTCCTAATAGAGCTATTGGCTGCAGGGCAGCATCTGCTCATTCCTTTCTGTTTTCTCATCTGAGGAATCTCTCTGCCCTTTGCACTCCATGAGGATTTCCACAGCTGGCCTCATTCCACAGGAAGAGCTTGAGGAGGCACAGTTCTGTTGGACACCTCGCCTTGCTGCTAGCTGGGTGATTCTTTGTAAGCCCCTCTCCTGAATATTACTACATACCCTACTTCATCCTCAAGCTCTGGGCAAGAAAATACACTTCTTTTTTAGTTGACTGTTAAATTTTTATCAAAATTAAAAAATAATTAGGTAAGATTGAAAAGAAGTCATCAGCCCTATCCTGCCATTCCCCACTTCTGACTTCTCAATTTAACTGTTTGAGCTGCATCTCTGCATTTTATTTAAAAACCAGTCAATCTAGCTAATTTTTTTCAGTTTTATACATGTATTATTTCTCGTCATTTTACTGTGGAAGAGGAGCATTTGGTTTTTTTAGACCTCTTCTCTTCAACGCAAATACATACAAGACAAACACACATGTATTTCCTTTCTCCATATAATAATTATATCATAATTTTGGCATACAGCAATATTCACTATGTACATGATTATAACTATGTTAACATTAATCATAGCTGAGTCATAGATTATTCTGTTATCACCAATTATTATGTTTCCTTTCTTCTTTTTCTTTTTTTTTCTGGAAACAGCGTCTCACTCTGTTGCCCAGGCTGGAGTGCAGTGGTGTGATCTTGGCTCACTGGGTTCAAACGATTCTCCTGCCTCAGCCTCCCGAGTAGCTGGAATTACAGGTGCATGCCACCATGCCCAGCTGATTTTTGTACTTTTAGTAGAGACAGGGTTTCACCATGTTGGTCAGGCTGGTCTTGAACTCCTGACCTCCTGATCCGCCCGCCTCGGCCTCCCAAAATGCTGGGATTACAGGTGTGAGCCACAGCGCCCAGCCACTCCTCTATGTTTTTTTAAGTGTGTACTTTCTGTAATTTTTCTTCTCTTTTTGTGTTACTCATGGGAGGTATTCTCTATCTCTCAACATTTTCATTAAAATTTTCATTTCTACTCTCAAATTTCTTATTTTAAAGAACATTTTATTCTCTGATGTTCCTTTTTCTTGTATGATGTGATGTTCTATTTATTCTTATTTTATAGGTGCAATATCTTTTCTAATTTCTCTGAGGTAATGCATTATGTGTATTTTGCAATATCTTTCTTTCCCGAGATTGCTTTTTGTGTGTTTATTTTTCTAACATTAGAGGTTTTTAAAATGACTGGTGCTTCTTAGCTCTTTGTTCACTTTCATAAATGAATCAAGAAACATTATCTAGAAGCACAGCATTCCCAGATGAAGCTTTGATGGGTGGGCTTCAGCATTTGGGTGGGGCCTCAGCTACTTCACTGTGCCATCTCTAAATACCACGACCCGTAAGTCTCTTCTACTGATGTGTCAGTATACTCAGAAAGAGACCTCCTAGTCTTTAGCCTGTCAGGTGTAAGCTGGCTGCCAGCATCCTGGGAAACTCAGAGAGGACGGGGCCTGGAGTGGGGATACAGAAGGAGTCTTAGTCAATGCCCCTGTTTTCATAGGACTCTTGGTCTTGGATACATGTGTCATCCCTGAGTATAGAGTGCTCTAGGTCAACTTTTCCTGGTTCCCGCTAAAGATAGAGTAACGGTAGCTCATTGACTTCAGGGATCTAACGGCTTCTGTGCAGACATTTTAACCAGCCTTTATTCAGCCTTCTAATCTCGACTGTTTTTGAGTTCCTGAGGCTTCCTAATAATCTGTAGTATAAATTTGGGCATTAGGGCTACTGCACTTACAGTTTAGGTTTCTGTTTTCCTTGGTCTGCTAAGTTGGTTACCCATCCATCTGTTTTGCAAAACAGCATTTTGTTGCTGTCATCTCCAGTCTCTTTTTGATTATTGAGGGTTATGTCTTTTGCAGTTTCTTAGTTATCATTTTAGTGAGGCTTGGGAAGAAGCAGGTGTAAACTCATATGATAAAGCTCACGGGTAAATGGAAGTTCTTTGGGAGGTACTTCAGCACCATTCTCTGAGGGGCATGTGTAGGTTTACCAAGCAAAGAAGACAGTTCTTTTCTTCTTTACATACATTTTCCTTCCTGACAGCAGCCAGACTTTTTTTTCCAGGATTTAACTCTTTTTTTTTTTTTTTTTTTAGCTGGATGAAACTGTAACCAGGGGTCCTGCTCTCTCCTATTCAGGTCCTTTTCTCTCTTATGCCAAAGAATCAGTTTGATTCTTTCTTCTTGAGATTTGAATCCTCAGAAGAAGTAAAAACAGGTCTGAAAATATTTGGAATTTATCCATCTCCCATCCACAGCATTCTAACCAGATTCCTTCCTCTATTAGGCCATTCCTGGTTTTCTTGCCTTCTAGGTTCCAGAAACTGTCTTGGTTCCTATTGATTTCTAGTTTGGTTCTTCAGGCTTCCAGTCAATTCCATTAACTTCTGATAATGTTTCAATGAATGTCTCTTTTGTTTAAGTTAGCCGTAATTGTGTACAACCAAAGAACTACAATTGATGCAGAAACTCAGTAGTTTATTTGATTTTGAAACAATTTCTTATGTTTTGTAGTTTCAAGGCTGAGAAACAACAACAGAAAAAAAACAAATTTAGGTGTTTTCTTTTTCTGCCAAAGTAATGGATTCCTTCATGATATGATTTCATATTTTCATGAAATAACTTTTGTGAAAGAATTAGAGGACTAGGACCCCAATATTAGTAAACTATTGCTGCAAAAAGCTATTGTGACAAAAACAATATATCAGTGGCAAGTGATAAGCATTTATTTCTTGCTCATGTATCTGTGGGTGACTGAAGTGGCTCTTCTTCAAGCTGCAGATTTGCATTGGCTGGAGCTGTTCTGTTCAATGCATTTAATTATGGGGCCAAGCCAGATGGGCAGAAGCTATTCAGGTTATATCCTTATTAAAATAATGGCAAAAAAGTGATGTAGGGAAAGCCCAACTGCATATGTTAATTTCAAGCCTTTGCTCATGTCTCATCAAATATCGCATTGGCCAAAGCGAGTCACCTAGCCAAACTCACAGTGAGAAGACAGGGAACTCCACCTACCATGAGGCCATGTGATGTATGATGACAGATACCATTTCAGGGAAGTGAAGAATTTGGACAAATACTTCAATCTACCAGTCTTCCCTATTAATCATGATTATCCACATGCTTATATTCCCTCCAACTTCATCTAATCCTAATATCAGGCCAGAAAGTCCAGGATCTTGTGATATAAAGCAAATCTAGATGTGCTTTTCTTTGAGTCAGAGACCTATGAATAATAAAGACAATTTTACTGTTTACACTTAACATACAATTGTGGCGTGAGAGCACAATAACAGAAATAAACACTTTCATTAGAAAGAGAAAGAGTGGTAGGCATATAGCAGTTACTGCTCAATAGTTGTTCCCAAAGCCTGCTGTACAAATATTTCTGGGTCCTTCTATCCTGGGGCAAGGAATGTTTCATGATTAAGTTTTAGTTATTTTCTTTAGGAGTGGCATCTTAATCTATTATTCTTCAAGCTCTTGGTTCTGCACACTGGAAGTCCCTTACTTTTCCATCCTTACCCAGCTTCTTAATTCTGGAAGACTGAAGACTCAGAGGTAATTTTTTTTTTTTTTTTTTTTTTTTTTTTTTTTTTTGCGTGTGTGTGTGTGTGTGTGTGTGAGCAATAAAGCTGTTTATTTCACCTGGGTGCAGGTGGGCTGAGTCCAAAAAGAGAGTCAGTGAAGGGAGATAGGGGTGGGGCCGTTTTATAGGATTTGGGAAGTTAATGAAAATTACAGTCAAAGGGGGTTGTTCTCTGTTGGGCAGGGGCAGGTGTCACAAGGTGCTCAGTGGGGGAGCTTCTGAGCCAGGAGAAGGAAATTCACAGGGTTAATCACTCAGTTAAGGTGGGGCAGGAACAAATCACAATGGTGGAATGTCATCAGTTAAGGATGGGGCAGGGCCTTTTCACTTCTTTTGTGATTCTTCAGTTACTTCAGGCCATCTGGGCGTATACGTCCAAGTCACAGGGGATGCAATGGCTTGGCTTGGGCTCAGAGGCCTGACATTCCTGCCTTCTTATATTAATAAGAAAAATAAAAGAAAATAGTGTTGAAGTGCTGGGGCGGCGAAAATTTTTGGGGGTGGTATGGAGAGAGAATGGGCGATGTTTCTCAGGGCTGCTTCGAGCAGGATTAGGGGCGGCGTGGGAACCTAGAGTGGGAGAGATTAAGCTGGAGGAAGATCTTGTGGTAAGGGGTGATATTGTGGGGTTGTTAGAAGGAACATTTGTCATATAGAATGATTGGTGATGGCCTGGATATGGTTTTGCATGAATTGAAAAACTAAATGGAATAAGAGAAGGAGAAAAACAGGTATAAAAGGTCTAAGAATTGGGAGGACCTAGGACATCTGATTAGAGAGTGCCTAAGGAGATTCAGCATAGTCCTGCCAGCAAAGATTATTTATTTACTTCAAGAGTTTAGAGTGGCAGTTTGGGGATAGCACCAGGAGGTATCAGCTGTGATGGCTTGGAGAAACAGTAAACCGGCAGTGTAAACAAGAGCGGGGCATGTATGAGTATTTGAGAATAGTGAATAGGAGTATGACTAGACAAAAGATAGTAGGGATGACAAGTTTTTTTGGGGCACAGTCTAAGTTGGTCTGGTGTCGAATGAGACTGGGGCCTAATAAAAATGAGTGTCTATACAGGAGCTTAAATGGGCTGTACTTTGTAACATTCTGAGGACAGGCCTGAATTCTGAGAAGAGAAAGTGGTAAAAGTATTGTTCAGTCCTTTTTAAGTTGGTGGCTGAGCTTGGTGAGGTGTGTTTTTAAAAGACCTTTAGTCCATTCTACTTTTCCTGAAGATGGAGGACCATAAAGGATATAAAGGTTTCACTGAATACTAAGAGCCTGAAAAACTGCTTGGCTGATTTGACTAATAAAGGCTGGTCTGTTATCAGACTGTATAGAGGTGGGAAGGCTAAACTGAGGAATTATGTCTGACAGAAGGGAAGAAATGACTGCGATGGCCTTCTCAGACCCTGTAGGAAAGGCCTCTATTTATTCAGTGAAAGAGTCTATTTAGACTAAGAGGTATTTTAGTTTCCTGACTCGGGCATGTTGAGTAAAGCTAATTTGCCAGTCCTGGGTGGGGGCAAATCCTCCAGCTTGATGTGTAGGGAAGGGAGGGGGCCTGAATAATCCCTGAGGAGTAGTAGAATAACAGATGGAACACTGAGAAGTTATTTCCTTGAGGATAGATTTCCACGATGGAAAGGAAATGAGAGGTTCTCAGAGGCCGGCTAGTGGCTTGTACTATAGCATAGCCTACCTTTGCTGGTGTGTGGCGATTAGGCCTGGTGGAACTGCCATCAATAAATCAAGCATGATCAGGGTGAGGAACAGGAAAGAAGGAAATATGGGGAAATAGGGTGAATATCAGGTGGATCAGAGAGATACAGTCATGGGGGTCAGGTGTGGTATCAGGAATAATGTGAGAGGCCAGATTGAAGTCCGGGCCAGGAACAATGGTAATTGTGGGACTTAAAGAGTGAGTACAGCTGAAGGAGCCGGGGAGCAGAAAGTATATGTGTCAAGTATGAGGAAGAAAATAGATTTTGGAAGTTATGAGAAATGTAGAGAGTGAGTTGAGCATAGTTTGTGATTTTTAGGGCCTCTAACATATTAAAGCAGCGGCAGCCGCCGCACGCAGACATGAAGGCTAGGCTAAAACAGTAAGGTCGAGTTGTTTGGACAGAAAGGCTACAGGGTGCGGTCCTGGCTCTTGTGTAAGAATTCTGACCGCACTAACCATGCCTAGGAAGGAAAGGAGTTGTTGTTTTGTAGAAGGTGCTGGGGTTTGAGAGATCAGTCGGACACGATTGGCAGGGAGAGCACGTGTGTTTTTATGAGAATTATGCCGAGATAGGTAACAGATGAGGAAGAAATTTGGGCTTGATTGAAGTAATGGGGGCTGTCCGTGAAGCTTTGTGGCAGTACAGCCCAGGTAATTTGCTGAGCTTGATGGGTGTGAGGGTCAGTCCAAGTGAAAGCGAAGAGAGGCTGGGATTAAGGGTGCAAAGGAATAGTAAAGAAAGCATGTTTGAGATCCAGAACAGAATAATGGGTTGTAGAGGCAAGTATTGAGGATAGGAGAGTATATGGGTTCGGAACCACGGGGTGGATAGGCAAAACAATTTGGTTGATAAGGTGCAGATCCTGAACTAACTTGTAAGGCTTGTCTGGTTTTAGGACAGGTAAAATGGGGGAATTGTAAGGAGAGTTTATAGGCTTTAAAAGGCCATGCTGCAGCAAGCGAGTGATAACAGGCTTTAATCTTTTTAAAGCGTGTTGCGGGATGGGATCTTGGCGTTGAGTTGGGGTAACGGTGATTAGGTTTTAATGAGATGGTAAGGGGTGCATGATCGGTTGCCAAGGAGGGAGTAGAGGTATCTTATACTTGTGGGTTAAGGTGGGGGGATACAAGAGGAGGACGAAAAGGAGGCTTTGGATTGGGAAGAAGGGCGGCAACGAGATATAGCTGTAGTCTAGGAATAGTCAGGGAAGCAGACAATTTAGTTAAAGTGTCTCAGCCTAATAAGGGAACTGGGCAGGTGGGGATAACTAAAAAGGAGTGCTTAAAAGAGTATTGTCTAAGTTGGCACCAGAGTTGGGGAGTTTTAAGAGGTTTAGAAGCCTGGCTGTCAATACCCACAACAGTTATGGAGGCAAGGGAAACAGGCCCTTGAAAAGAAGGTAATGCGGAGTGGGTAGCCTCAGTATTGATTAAGAAGGGGACGGGCTTACCTTCCACTGTGAGAGTTACCCGAAGCTCGGCGTCCCTGATGGTCTAGGGGGCTTCCGAGGCGATTGGGCAGTGTCAGTCTTCAGCCGCTAAGCCGAGAAGATCTGGGAAGGAGTCAGTCAGAGAGCCTTGGGCCAGAGTTCCAGGGGCTCTGGGAGTGGCTGCCAGGTGAGTTGAACAGTCCGATTTTCAGTGGGGTCCCACACAGATGGGACGCGGCTTAGGAGGAATCCCGGGCTGTGGGCATTCCTTGGCCCAGTGGCCAGATTTCCAGCACTTGTAGCAAGCTCCTGGGGGAGGAGGTTCTGGAGGAACGCCTGGCCGCTGCAGTTCAGGCATTTGGAAGTTCTTGTGTGCTGGAGATGTGGCTGGGGTTTGTCTCACAGTGGAGGCAAGGAATTGCAACTTTTTTCTGTTATTGTACACCTTGAAGGTGAGGTTAATTAAGTCCTGTTGTGGGGTTTGAGGGCCAGAATTTAATTTTTGGAGTTTTATTTGATGTCGGGAGCAGATTGGGTAATAAAATGTATTTTGAGAATAAGACGGCCTTTTGACCTTTTAGGGTCTAGGGCTGTAAAGCGTCTCAGGGTTGCTGCCAAACGAGCCATGAACTGGGCTGGATTTTTATATTCGATGAAAAAGAGCCTAAACGCTTCTGATTTGGGATAAAGAAAAAGGAGCATTAACCTTGACTATGCCTTTGGCTCCAGCCACCTTTTTACGAGTAAATTGCTGGGCAGGTGGGGGAGGGCTAGTCACGGAACGAAACTGTAAGCCGGACCAGGTGTGAGGAGGGGAGGTGATAAAAAGATTATAGGGTGGAGGAGCAGAGGCTGAGGAAGAATTGGGACCTAGCTCGGCCTGGAGAGGAGCAGCCTGGGGAGGAAGGGAGAGGTCAGATGGGTCTGTAGAAAAGGAAGATTAGAAAGACTCAGCGACGCTTGGGGTTGGTACTGAGGGGACAGGTGGGAGGGAAAGAAGGAAGATTTGGGACAAGTTGCACTGGGCACAGAGACTAGGAAGGGACTGATGTGTAAAAGAATGCCTGGACGTCAGGCACCTCAGACCATTTCCCTATTTTATGACAAGAATTATTTAGATCTTGCAGGATGGAAAAATTCAAAGTGCCATTTTCTGGCTATTTGGACAAATACTGTCGAGTTTGTATTGGGGTCAAGCGGCATTGCAGAAGAAAATAAGGCATTTAGGTTTTAGGTCAGGTGTGAGTTGAAGAGGTTTTAAGTTTTTGAGAACACAGGCTAAGGGAGAAGAAGGAGGAATGGAGGGTGGAAGGTTGCCCATAGTGAAGGAGGCAAACCCAGAGAAAAGAGAGCGTAGAGACACGGAGGGAAGGGGTTTGGGGGTTCTTACCCTCCCGAAAAGCAGGAAGGGGGGTCGGGGCATGGAAATAAGGGATTGGGGCACAGAGATAAGAGGTTGGGGCACAGAAATAAGGGATTGGGGCGCAGAGATACGAGGTTGGGGCATGGAAATAAGGGATTGGGGGATCTTGCCCCCTAGAAAAGCGGGACTTGCCGCTAAGGGTGAAGGAGAAGGGGTTGAGGGGTACTTGCCCCTCCCCCAGAAAAGCAGAAAAGGGGTAGAGACAAGGAGAGAAGGGGTTGGGGTACTTGCCCCTTCCCCAGAAAAGCGGGACTTGCCGCTAAGGGTGAAGGACCAAGGCAGGCATCCCTTCGTGGTCTGACACCTTTGAAACGTGGGTCAATAATCAGAGAGGCTTCCCTGCAATGATTAAACACCAAGGGAAGGCTGCCTTCCCAGTCTGTGACTGGCGCCGGAGTTTTGGGCCCACTGGTAAAATGTGTCTCCTTTGTCTCTCCCAGAAAATGAAAGGAATTGAAATTAAGAGAAGGGAGAGAATGAAGAGTGGAAAGGAGAAAGTGGTTGAGGGACAGTGAGAGAGGTTGGAGAAAGAGAGTAAGAAGAGGCCGCTTACCTGATTTAAAATTGGTGAGATGTTCCTTGGGCTGGTCGGTCTGAGGACCTGAGGTCGTAGGTGGATCTTTCTCACGGAGCAAAGAACAGGAGGACAGGGGATTGATCTCCCAAGGGAGGTCCCCCGATCCAAGTCACGGCACCAAATTTCATGCGCGTCCATGTGAAGAGACCACCAAACAGGCTTTGTGTGAGCAATAAAGCTGTTTATTTCACCTGGATGCAGGTGGGCTGAGTCCAAAAAGAGAGTCAGCCAGTAATTTTTTAAAATTATTATTATACTTTAAGTTTTAGGGTACATGTGCACAACGTGCAGGTTTGTTACATATGTATACATGTGCAGCCTCAGCTTTTTTAAGACCAGGCTGCTGACACTTTTGCCAATATAATTCTCTCAGAAATATTATGTGTTTTCTATGTATTTGATTCCATTTAACTCCATGTGCCAAAAACACACCACAATTCTGGGTCTTAAAAAAATGAAATAGGCTGGGTGCGGTGGCTCATGCCTGTAATACCAGCACTTTGGGAGGCCAGGGTGGGCAAATCACCTGAGATCAGGAGTTCAAGACCAGCCAGGCAAACATGGTGAAACCCCATCTCTACTAAAAATACAAAAATTAGCTGGGCATGGTGGCACATGCCTGTAGTCCCAACTACTCAGTAGGCTGAGGCAGGAGAATCGCTTGAACCTGGGAGGCAGAGGTTGCAGTGAGCTGAGATTGTGCCACTGCACTCCAGCCTGGGTGATAGAGTGAAACTCCATCTCAAAAAAAAAAAAAAAAATAGGCATACCATTACAGCCTTGCTATATTTTTAGAACACATACGAGTCCCAATGAACAGAGGTCTGTTGAGCCACAACGACAGAATTATGGTCCTTTACCTAATTCCCAGAAATGGTTCCATTAGACCCAGATCCCTCCAATGAAGGAGACTAGGTTACTTCAGGGATAAATACTGCTATAATAACCACAAATGAGGTACATGAACCTTCTTCCAAGCCTTCGCCAAAGGGTTCTAGTACTACTTACTTGGTTTAAATAGCTGTGAAAAAATGCCCCAGACTTTCAGGAACTACTGGATGCTGCCTCTGAGGAAATACTATTTCCCGAGGATGACCAATTACCACTGCTTCCCCCTATCAGAGAAAGGGCTCCTGAGACTCAAGAAACAAATTGGATCCTGTCCAGTTTGCCTCAAAATAGGTCAAACAGTTCCCTGAACCCATATGGTTGTCATTCTCCTGGTTCTTGAATGTATATTTGGCAACGATATTCTTAACAATTGATAGAAGTCCGTTTTCTGATAATTCAGAGAAGACATTCTCTTTCTTTTAAATGCCAGCCTCGAAAGTATTTAGAGAATATCTTCATATTTTTCCTCAGACTTTGATGCCTTAGAGTTTCTGATATCACATTCTTTCCTGAATATTCGCCTTGGGTCTTTTCCTCTGGGTGAGCTTGAACTGGTCAACATGCTTGTTGAAATGGTGCCCAGAATAGCATGGATTATTTCAGAGATGATATGAAAAGGGAATATGCTTGGGGATTATTAGTTCCTGGGAAAGAAGCATTACTAATGTAGCTAACATGGAAGTTTGTGTTTAAAGATATATCACGTTACTCATTTTCAACTTATGAACAACTAAAGGTACAGAGATTTTTCACTTCATTTATTAACAAGACAGAGTTTTCCTATCCCATGCTTGTAAAATTGATTTTAAAAAATTTTTTAGGATAAAAAGTGACATATGTTCACTAAATGAAAGTTGAAAATGTGAAAAAATGAAAAAAAAACCATCATCCATAAGAATAGGTGTCATTTTCTCAGCAATGTTTGCTCTTCATGATTTAAAAAAATACAAGCATGATTATAAAATTGAACATACTAATTCTAAAATTATTTTTTTCTGATAGAAGTAATATACAATATTACTAATAGTAGAAAAAAATTAAATATGGGAAAATATAAAGAAGACAGCTTTTCCCACAAATGATATTGAGTATTTCTGCCTGTGTTTATTTGCCATCTGCATATCTTCTTTGGTAGAATGTCTAATAAAATATTTTGAACATCTTAAAAATCAAATTGTTCATTTTATGATTGAGTGTTGTTGTTGTTGTTGTTGTTACATAGCCAAGTAAGATTCGCTAAATCTTCATTTGGCATGGCAAAGGTAACTCTACTGTTTCCATGGAAAATTGCTCTAAAAACCAACAGAGAAAGTCTCAGAAAAGTCCCCTTTCCGTGGGTCCAACAGTGTTCCTCTACCTTGTTTTCTACCCAATCTCAACTTTTCCTTAAAAGAAAATCAAAACGTATCTATAGATATACATGTAAATAGAAATCACTTTCTGAAATACTAATTGAAAATTTAGAACTATACCCTTAGAATTTTGTGAAGACCACAGAGTGAATGAGAATTATATTGCTCTTATCACCTAAAATATAGCCAGTTTTACTTTCTAAAACTTATGGATTGACATACAGAAGGTCAGGTAATAACTCTAGAGCTTTATAATAGAACATTATTAGCATTTATAAAAGATATTTCTTTAATTATATTATCACCTAACAATGACCATACAGTGGACAGGAGAGTAATTTGAAAATGTCCTTATAGTAACTTCTCTGCTCATAAGGAGATATTAATAAATATGAACAGATATTCTACATACCTATGGATCTGGAAAAGCATTTATTCACTAATACATTGTATTTGTGTTCTCTAATTTAGCATCATCTTTTCATCTTGCTTGATTTTCCTGCAGCTAAACATTTGTAGTTCCCCCCTAAAAAAAGCAATGACAATCTTTCTTATAAATTACGTTCTCTGATTTCCTTGTCAACCTGCTTCAAGAAAATCCATGTGTTCAAAACGCTTGCTCACAGTCTGCCCCACAGCAAATGATTGTTTAACCCAAATATCTGTGCAGCAAACTGAGCTGATCCTTCTGGAGAAAGGGTGGTTGAGCAGCTGAGACCACTGGGTAGTCGAGGAGAAGACCACACATCCTGAGCTCCCCAGTCTGCTTGAGCGGAGGACAGCTGATAACTGGATATGCAGTGTTCCCAGACGTCACTGGTCCCAAACCATTTCTTCTGCCTGCCACTGCCACAAACACAGTGGGAATGCCATCCCCTTCACACTCACCTTTAATCCGCAGAGTTTTATCTGGTCCTTTATGCACAGATGTTACTTGAAGTTCTCAGGAAATGCCAAGATTTCCACAGGCCTTCTTGATTTTTTCACAGTGGCCAAGATCAGAAGTAGAGCCTACCAATACTGCCATCCCGCACGGACTTTCTAATTTCAAAAGCAACTCTTCTCTCTCTGCAACCCACTCTTAAGTTTTTCTATAACCATCTTGAGCCCTTCAGGAGTTACTTCTTTGAGGTCCTGATGAGGCTGTTTGTCTTTCTGTTGGCTTCCATCTACTGATGGCCAGAGTCTCCAGGAATCATTATCAATAACATCAGCAAGAACAATTTCTTTAGGGGTTACATCAACACCAAATTTGATCTTCATATCAACCAGCATACAGTTCTGGGGCAACCAAGATTTCTCCAGTATTTCAAAAAAGAGCCTATGTAGTATATGACATGATATCCACTTCAGTTTGGCCTATGAGAAGTTCACCAAAGCAAAATTTTGGAGCAATTAGCTGTTCCTCAGATGACTCTGGGTCATTACTGGCATCATCCTTGAAAAACATCTCCACTTTAGGTGGGTAAAACTTATATCCTTCCTTGTCATCAGGATTTCTTTTGAAAAAAGAATCAGTTGCTATTCTTCTGCAAACCCATTCAGTTGGAATCATTTCACACTCGGGAGCAGCAAAAGCTGTCTGTTTCCCCACATTTTCTGGTGAAAGCAGTTTTGACACTTGCTTCCTGTAACAACTGAAAAACACAACTGGTAATTTTATTTGAGATTGCAGCTTTTACCTTTTACTTCCGGGTGATTCTTTCTTTTTTTTTTTTTTTTTTTTTTTTGAGGCAGGTCTCGCTCGGTCGCCCAGGCTGGAGTGCAGTGGCACGAGTGAAGTAGCACGATCTTGGCTCACTGCAAGCCCCGCCTCCCGGGTTAACGCCATTCTCCTGGCTCAGCCTCCCAAGTAGCTGGGACTACAGGCGCCCGCCACCATGCCCAGCTAATTTTTTGTATTTTTAGTAGAGACGGGGTTTCACTGTGTTAGCCAGGGTGGTCTCTCCTGACCGCATGATCCGCCCGCCTCGGCCTCCCAAAGTGCTGGGATTACAGGCCTGAGCCACCGCACCTGGCCCAGGTGATTCTTTCTAACTGCATTTCCTGCTGTTATCTGGTCCTTGAACTGCAGGAGGATTTTTTCTGGACTATCTAATAATTTATGGACTTTGTTTTACCCTCATTCAGTTTTTTACCAATACTTAGTACCTCAGCTGTTGCCAGTATCCTGAGTGGGCTGAAGGTTGTGACCCCACTGGGAAGAGAGGCAGAAATCTCGGATACCGGTTCTTCATCAGAAATGCCTTTTGCAAATATTTTCTCCTGGTGTACAGCTTGTCTTCTAAGGTTCTGAACAGTGTCTTACAAGAGCAGAAGTTCTTAACTTTGATGAATCACTATCAATTTTATCTTCATGATTGAGATTAGATTTCATATCTAATAAGTCTTTGTTTAATCCAAGGTATCAATTTGTGGTCTTATGATTTCTTCTGAATTTTTATTTTTTCTTACACTTCAGTTTATGATTCATTTTTATTTAATTTTTACATATGGTGTGAAGTATGGGTCAAGATTTAAAAAATTTTGCAAATGGATGTTCAATTTTTTCAGACCATCTGTTAAAAAAATTCTCTTTTCTGCACTGAGTTTTCTTTGTACCTTTATCAAATATTAATTGATAATTTATATGTGAGTCTTTATCTGGACTTTGTTTGGTTACAGTGATTTATGTGTCTGTCCTTTCACCAATATGACATTGTTTTGATTAATGTAGCTTTATACTTTAATCTTGATCTATACATCTTGATTAATGTGTCTTGAAATGAAATAATTAAGTCCTTGGGCTTTGTTCTTTTCAAAATTATATCAGCTCTTGTAATTCCTTTGATTTTTTTCCATAAAAATTTTAGAATTAACTTGTCAATTTCTCCAAAAAGAATATTGCTGGGATTTTTTGTAAGATTGCATGGAATCTATGGAAGGTTAATTTATGATTAACGTTAATAAATTAATATAACAATGTTGAGACTTGCAAATCTTGAATAACGAACATCTTGTATTTGTTTAGGCCTTTGATTTCTTTCACTGGCGTTTTGGAGTTTTCAATATGCAGATTGTACACTTGTATAAACATATTTTGTTAAATTTATACCAAAGTGTTTCTTATTTTTCTTATTATTATAATAGCACTGCTTGAAAATTTTCAGTTTCTACTGGTAGTATATAGAATGTAGACAGAAATGTGATTTTGTGTATTAAATATACATTGGCCTTCTAACTATTGACCTTGCTAAATTTACTAATTAGTTCTAATACCTTTCTTGTAGATTCTTACAATTTTCTAAACATACAATCATGTCATCTGCAAAGAGAAACATTTTTACTTCTTCTAATCTGTAGGTCTTTTTTTTTTTTTTGAATTTCTTCTCTTATTGCACTTAGAATTTTCAGTGTGTCTAAAAAGAGTGGTAAGAATGGACTTCTCGTCCTTATTCCTGATCTTAGGGGCAAAACATTTGGTCTTTTAGCATTAACTCTGATGTTAGCAGCCCATTTTGTAGATACTCTCCCTCAGTTTGAGGAAGTTCCTTTCTATTATTAATTGATGAGAATTTTTGTTATGGTTGGATTTCAAATTTTGTCCAGTGATTTTCTGCATCTTTTGAGATGAGCAATGTTTTTCTTCTTTTGTCTACTGATGTGGTGAACTAATTTAATTAACTTTTGAATGCTTAACTATCTTTTCACGATGAAATAAACCTCACTTGGTAATGATATATTATCTTTTTTTTACATATTGTTGGATTGTAAGTGCTAGCATTCGATTGAATATTTTCATATCTATGCTGTGAGGGATATTTCGTCTGTAGTTTTCTTATAATGTCTTTGTTTTTAATATCAGGTAATGCTGAGTTTATAAAATGAGCTGGGTGTCATTCCCTCCCGTTTTA
Source organism: Homo sapiens (assembly GCF_000001405.40). Taxonomy (NCBI): domain Eukaryota; kingdom Metazoa; phylum Chordata; class Mammalia; order Primates; family Hominidae; genus Homo; species Homo sapiens. Next base: position 143,780,940 of record NC_000007.14, on the reverse strand, counting down.
TCTTATGGAAAAAATTGTGTATAATTATATTACATTTTTCTGAAATGTTAGGAAAAACGTGTTAGTACAGCCAGCTGGACTTGAAGATTTTTCTTTGAGAATTTTAAGCCACAAATTCAATTTCTTTAATGTATAGTAGCTTATTCAAGATACCTATTTCTTCTTCAGTGAGTATTGCTGCTGTGTCATGTATGACACATGTATGATTTATTTTTATGTTTATAAATGACTAGGAAGGATCTGAAATAATTTTCTAACCTTCATTCCTAAAATTGATAATTTGTGTCTTCTCTCTTTTTATCTTGGCCGATATGGCTAGTCACTATTAATTTATGGACTTTTTTCAAAGGAACAACTCTTTGGTCATTGGTTCTCTCTTTGCTTCTCTTTCATTGTTTTTCCAGTTCATTGTTTTCTTCTGGTATTTTTATTTCCTGGAAATTTTGGGTGGATTCCTGAGAATCAATATTGTAGGCCATTGTTTTTTTTTAAAACACTGTGACCTATAATAACAAATACTTTTTATATCATATTTCATTATGTGCTCAAAAAGCCCATTTACATATAATTAAAACGAACTTTCACAAAACAACACTCAGCCATATTACATGTGAGAAAGTATTTTTTTCAATTCAATTCTATTTTGTTCCAGCCTGGATGAATTCTCTTTTGTTAACAAGAAGCTGATCACAACCTGCTAAACTACCTTCACAGACTACTGATTGTTAGTGACCTGCGGTTTGAAAAGCATTGCCGAACATGATTCTGCTAACAAATCATGTATACAATGCTTGTGAGACCCTCTACTATTTCTTTTTTCCTTTTATTGGTACATAGTGTTTTGCACATTTATGGGGGTACATGTGAGCATTTTTAATGTGCATCGAACATGTAACATCAAGTCAGGGTATTTGGGGTATCCATCATACTGAGTATTTGTCATTTCTGCATGTTGGTAACATTTCAAGTTCTTTCTTCTAGCTACTTTGAAATATACAATATGTTGTTGTTAACTATAGTCATCCTAGTCTGCTATTGAAAATTAGAACTTATTTCCTCTATCTAACTGTAAGTTTGTGCTTCTTCATGAACCTCTTTTCCTTTCTCCCTCCGCCCACTCTCACACCCTCCCAAACTCTGGTGTCATATCTACCCGTCTATTGTCTACCTCCAGGAGATCAAGGTTTTTAGTTCCTACATATGAGTAAGAACATGTGGTATTTGTCTTTCTGTGCCTGGATTATTTCACCTGACATAATGACCTTTATTTCCATCCATGTTGCTGCAGATGACATGATTTCATTCTTTCTTATGAACAAATAGTATTTCATTGTGTATATATACCACATTTTCTTTATCCATTCACCCACTGATGAACACTTAGATTGAGTCCATACCTTTGCGATTGTTAAGTATTCCCTTTTCTATACATCCTTGCCAGCATCTGTTTTTATTTATTTATTTTTTGTCTTTTTAGGAATAACCATTCTCATTAGGATGAGATAATATCTCATCATGGTTTTGATTTGCATTTCTCTGATGATTAGAGATGTTGAGCATTTTTTAATATGCTTGTTGGCTTTTGTGTGTCTTCCTTTGAAAATTGTCTATTCATGTCATTTGCCCACTTTTTAATTGAATTATTTGTTTTTTTTTATTGTTGAGTTGTTTGTATTCCTTGCATATTCTGGATATTAGTCCCTGGTTGGATGAATAGTTTGCAACTACTTCCTCCCATTCAACAGTTTGTCTCTTCACTTTGTTAATTGTTTCTTTCACTGTGCAAAAACTTTTTTAGTTTACTATAGTGCTATTTGTCTATTTTTGTGTTAGTTTTCTCTGCTTTTGAGGTCTCAGCCATAAAATCTTTGCCTAAACAAATATCCTGGAGTATTTTCCCTTTGTTTTCTTCTAGTGGTTTTATAGTTTAAGGTCTTACTTTTAAGTTTTTGATCCATTTTGAATTGATTTTTATATAAGGTGGAAGATAAGGGTCCAGTTTCATTCTTCTGCATGTGAATATCCCATTTTTTTCAGCACTATTTATTAAAGAAGGTATCCTTTCCTCAGTGTATGTTCTGGGCAACTTTGTTGAAAGTCTGTTGGCTGTAAATATGTAGAGTTATTTTTGGGTTTTCTATTCTCTTCCATTAGTTTCTGTGTCTATTTCTATGTCAATACCATGCTTTTTGGTTACTATAACCTTGTACTATATTTTGAAGTCAAGTAGTGTGATGCCTTCTGCTTTGTACTTTTTGCTCAGGATTGTTTTGGTTATACTGGCTCTTTTTTTATTCCATATGAATTTTAGAATTTTGTTTTCTATTTCTGTAAAAAATGACATTGGTATTTTAATAAGGATTTTATTGAATCTGGATATTTCATTGGTCATTTTGACAATATTGATTCTTCTGATCCATGAGCATGGGATGTCTATTTGTTTATGTCTTCTTTAATTCATTTTAACAGTGTTTTACAGTTTTTCTTGTAGAGATCTTTTACCTGCTTGGTTAAATTTATTCCTAGGTATTTTTTTTTTGGTAGCAATTGTAAATGGGATTGTCTTCTTGATTTCTCTTTTGGCTGTTTTATTATTGGTTATAGAAATGCTACTGATTTTTATATGTTGATTTTATATTTTTCAACTTTATTGAATTTGCTTATCATTTTTAGGTGGAATCTTTTTTTTCTAAATATAAGATTATTTCATGTGCAAAGAGAGACAATTTGACTCCCTCTTTTCCAATTTGAATGCCTTTTATTTTTTACTCTTGTCTGATTTCTCTGTCTAGGGGAAATAGTATTTTTAGCATTATGTTGAATAGGAGTAGTGAAAGTGAGCATCCTTGTCTTGTTCTAGTTCTTAGAGAAAAGGTTTTCAACTTTTTGCCATTCAGTATGATGTTGGCTGTGGGTTTGTCATATATATGGCCTTTATTATTTTGAGGTATGTTCCCTCTATACCTAGTTTGTTGAGAGTTTTTATAATGAAATGATGTTGAATTTTATCAAATGCCTTTTCTGCATCTATTGAAATGATCATATAGTTTTTGCCCTTCATTCTGTTCATGTGATGTGTCACATTTATTCATTTGCATATGTTAAACCGTCCTTGTATCCCTGGGATGAAACCCACTTGCTCATGGGGTACTATCTTTTTGACATGCTGTTAAATTCATTTTACTAGTATTTTGTGGAGAATTTATGTGTCTATGTTCATCAGGGGTATTGGTCTGTAGTTTTCTTTTTGTGTGTGTGTACTTGTCTGGTTTTGGTATCAGGGCAATGCTCACCTCCTAGAGTAAGTTAGGGAGAATTCCACGTTGTTTGATTTTTTGGAATAGTCTGAGGAGGATTGATATTAGTTCTTTATAGAATTTGAAAGTGAGTCCATCTTGTCCTGTGCTTTTCTTTGTTGGGAGTCTTTTTATTGCTGATTTAATGTCACTACTCATTATTGGTTTGTTCAAGTTTTCTATCTTTTCCTGATTCAATCTTGGTAGTTTGTATGTTTCCAGGAATGTATCTATTTTATCTAGGCTTTCCAGTTTATTAGTGTATAGTTACTCATAATAATCTCTGATGATCTTTTATGTTTCTTTGGTATCAGCTGTAATGTCTCCTTTTTTATTTCTAATTTTGTTATTTAGTCCTTCTCTCTTATTTTCTTGGTTAGTCTAGCTACAGGTTTGTCAGTTGTGTTTATCTTTCTGAAGAACTTTTTGTTTTAATGATCCTTGTCTTTTAGTCTCTATTTTATTTAGTTCTCATCCTATCTTTATTGCTTCTTTTCTTCTGCTAATTTTGGGTTTGGTTTGTTCTTCCTTTTCTATAATAATTCTTTGAGGTGCATCATTACATTGTTTAATTGAAAACTTTCTACTTCTTTTGATGCAGATGTTTATTGGTATAAATTTCCCTCTTAGTACTGCTTTAGTTGTATTCCACAGATTTTGGCATCATGTGTTTCCATTTTTATTTGTTTCAATAAATGTTTTTATTTCCATTTTTATTTCTTCAGTCAGGACCATGTTGTTTTATTTTTAGGTATTTGTATAGCTTCCAAAGTTGTTCTTTGTATTAATTTTTGGTTTTATTCCACTGTTGTATGGGAAAATACTTAATATAATGTCAAGTTTTAAGAATTTGTTGAGACTTCTTCTTTTGTGGCTGAAAATATGATCTATCCTGAAAAATGTTCCACATGCTGAGTAGAAAAAAATGCGTATTCTGCAGTTGTTGAATAATATGTTCTGTAGGTGTGTCTGTTAGGTCCATTTGTTCTATAGTCCAGTTAAATTCAATATTTTTTAGTTGATTTTACATCTAGATGACCTGTCTAATGCTTAGAGTGGGGTGTTGAAGTCCCTCACTGTTGTTGTACTGGAATTTATCTCTCTCTTTAGTATTGGGGGAACCAACCCCTGATAATTCATCATAGGTTCTTTTCTATTTTCCCTAAGTGTCGGCTGGTCTGAGAAATAAAGGGAAAGACTACAAAAGAGAGAAATTTTAAAGCTGGGTGTCAGAGGGAGACATCACATGTCGGCAGGTTCCGTGATGCCCCCTGAGCGGTAAAACCAGCAAGTTTTTATTAGCAATTTTCAAAGGGGAGGGAGTGTACAAATAGGGTGTGGGTCACAGAGATCACATGCTTTAAGGGCAACAAAAGATCACAAGGCAGATGAGCAGGGCAAGATCACAAGTTCAGGGCAAAACTAGAATCACTAATGAACTTCCATGTCCTGCTGTGCACCCACTGTCACTGATAAACATCTTAACAGGGTTCAAGAGCAGAGAACTTGTCTAACTAGAATTTGCCAGACTGGAATTTCCTAATCCTAGCAAGCCTGGGGGCGTTGCAGGAGACTAGGGCGTGTTTCATCCCTATCTACATCTGCATAAGGCAGACACCCCCAGAACGGCCATTTTAGAGGCCCCCCTGGAAATGCATTCTTTTCCCAGGGCTGTTAATTATTAATATTCCTTACTAGGGAAAGAATTCAGCGATATTTCTCTTACCCGTTTTTGGTAAGGAGAGAAATATGGCTCTGTCCTGCCCGGCCCACAGGCAGCCAGACTTTAAGGTTATCTCCCTATTTCCCTGAAAATCACTGTTATCCTGTTCTTAAGGTGCCCAGATTGCATATTGTTCAAACACACATGCTCTACAAACAATTTGTGCAGTTAAAGCAATCATCACAGGTCCTGAGGCGACATACATCCCCAGCTTACAAAGATGATGGGATTAAGAGATTAAAGACAAGACAGGCATAGGAAATCACAAGAGTTTTGATTGGGGAAGTGATAAATGTCCATGAAATCTTCACAATTTATGTTCAGAGATTGTAGTAAAGACAGGCTTAAGAAATTATAAAAGTATTAACTTGGGGAACTAATAAATGTCCATGAAGTCTTCACAATTTATGTTCTTCTGCCATGGCTTCAGCCAGTCCCTCCAGTCGGGGTCCCTGACTTCCCACAACACTTTAGATCTAGTAATATTTGCTTTATGAATCTGGGTACTGCAATGCTAGGTGCATGTATATTTAAAATTATTATATCTTCTTGCCGAATCGATCTGTTTATCATTATATAATGACCTTCTTTGCCTTTTCTTACTATTTTTGACTTAAAGTCTCTTTTATCTGATATAAGTAAATCAACTTCTGCTCACATTTGGTTTAGGTTTGCATGGTATATCTTTTTCAATCCTTTTTCTTTCAGTCTGTGTGTGTCTTTACAAGTAAAATGTGTTTCTTGTAGGCAGCACATAGTTGGATCATATATACTTCTTTTAATCAATTAAGCCAGTCTGTATCTTTTAAGTGGAGAATTTAATCAATTTACATTTAAGGTTATTATTGATATGCGAAGTTGTTTTTTTTTTTTTTTTTTTTTTTTTTTTTGACAAGAGTCTCACTCTGTTGCCCAGGCTGGAGTGAAGTAGCATGATATCGGCTCACTGCAACCTTCGCCTCCCAGGTTCAAGTGATTCTCCTGCCTCAGCCACCCAAGTAGCTGGGATTACAGGCACGTGCCACCACGCCTGGCTAATTTTTGTATTTTTTTTTAGTAGAGATAGGGTTTCACCATGTTGGCCAGACTGGTCTCAAACTCCTGACTTCAGGTGATCTGCCCGCCTCAGCCTCCCAAAGTGCTGGGATTACAGGCATGAGCCACCACACCTGGCCAGATGTGAAGTTTTGTTTCTGTCATATTGTTCATTGTTTTCTGGTTGTTTTGTATATTCTTCATTCCTTTCTTTTTCTTTTATTGTTTGTCATTGTGGTTTGGTAGTTTTGTATGGTGGTACTGTGTGAGTTCTTTCTCTTCCTCATTTGTGTGTTTGTTTTACCAGTGAGTTTTATACTTCGTTGTGTTGTTGTGATGGTAAATGCTGTCTTTTTCTTCCAGGTTTAGGACTGCCTTGAGCATTTCTTGGAGGACCAGTTAAGTGGTGATGAATTTTCTCAGCTTTTGCTTCTTTGGGAAAGACTTTTTTATTTCTCCTTCATTTATGAAGGATAATTTGCTGGAAATAGATCCTTTGTTGGCAATATATATATTTTTTTCTTAGCCCTTTGAATATATCATCTCATTCTTCCTGGCAGAAAGGCTTCTACTGAGAAATTCACTGTTAGTCTGATGGGGGTTCCTTTAAAGGTGACTATATGTTTTTTCTTGCTGTTTTTAGAATTCTTTCTGTGTATTTTACTGTAGACATTTTGACTGTAATGTTTCATGAAAACTTTTTTGCATTGTATCTGTTTGGGGATCTCAGAGCCTGTTGTATCTAGATGCCTTAATCTCTTGCTAGATTTGGGAAGTTGTTATGTATTGTTATGTTGAATAAGTTTTCTAATCCTTTTGTTCTCTCTCTGCCTTCTGAGACCCCAGTAATTCAAAATTTGGCCACTTTATGGTGGTTCATATACTATGAAGAATTTGCCTATTCTTTTTTCTGTATTTTTGTTGGGCTGTGTTATTTCAATAGACTTGCTTTCAAGTTCTGAGATTCTTTCTTCTGCTTGATCTAGTCTATTTTTGTTGAAGCTTTTGAATATATTTTGTATTTCATTAAATGAATTCTTCAGTTTATGAATTTCTGGTTGGCTATTTTTTTATTATCTCTATCTTTGGCAAATTACTCATTCATATCCTGAATTGTTTTTCTGATTTCTTTGTAATTTTTCAGAAATTTCTTGTATTCCACTGAGCTTCTTTAATATTCAAATTTTGAATTCTTTTCCCATGATTTCATTCATTTGTTTTTTATTGTAATCTATCGCTGGAGAGTTATTCTGTTCCTTTGGAGGTGTATATTTCCTTGATTTTTCATGTTTCTTGTGTTCTTACATTGATATTGACATATCTGAAATAATATTAGTTTCTTCCAACTTGTTGAATTTGCTTTTATAAAGGAAAACTTTCTTGAAGATGTATCTATGGTGTTTGTTGGGTAGAATGTTTTGGGTTTGATTCTGGGTGCATGCAGTAGTGTAGCTTTCAACAGCATCAGTGGTATCTGTGATCTCCTTGGTGGCTTAGGGTACAGCTGGAAACTGTGGTGAAGTTCTGCTGGGGACTGGGAAGCCAAGTAGGCCAGTTTTCCAGCACCATTGGTACCAGTGTTGGGCTGAGCATGCCTGTTCTTGGGCACCGGGGGGCAGTGTAAACTGGCACTAGTATTAGTGGGTACAGTCAGGCTAACCCTTGGGCCTTCTGGAAGCTTACTCATATGCTGGTAGTGGCAACTTTGGGCAAGGTGGGTGGCAGGTTCTTGGACCTCTAGGCAACCAGTATGGCATGGGCAAAGGTAGAGTCAGTGGCAGAACAATCCTCTGGGTCTTGAGAAGTATGTGCTGGTGTTGGTGGTGGCTGCAATGGGCTGCATGGGCCAGTCTTTAGGCTTGCAGGCGGCACATGCAGATAAGTGCCAGTTGTGGTATTCTCATTTTGGTGAGTAGGCCCCTGGGAGGAGTGTTTAGGTTCCGATGGTGGTGAACCAAGTTGGGAAATCCCCTGGCCCCTAGACTATGTGCTCTTTTATGGAGAGGGGGTAAATCTGGGTCAGATGAGCTTGTCCTCAGGCCTCCAGTGGCGTGTGGAGGAGCCACCCAAGGTACAAAGGGGTTGGGTGATCCGCAGGCCACTGGTGGAATGCTTGCACTGGGGGAAGAAACAACTGTGCTGTTATCCTGCCACTGGGGAGGGTAGTTCTGCCTTCATTGGCAACAGCATAGGCCAATGGATGGGGAATGTGTGCACCACTTGCACCTCAGTCCCAGCAGCACTGCACCTTAGCCCCAGGTGTGATAGCCCAGGGTCACTCACGCCTAGATCTTGGGGACACAGCCTGCACTTCTCTTGAGCCCCAGCTCCAGCACTGCTGGACTCCAAGACAGCATATAGTTTGTTGGGCCTCTACTATTTCTTGATCCATGACATTGATAAAAATTAAAAACAACTTGGATAGGACACATGGTCTAGACTCACAGCATATTCCAAGAAATCTCTCACCAGGTTCAAACAAAGTCATTAATTTCTTCATTAATTTAACAAATATTGAGCCATTACCTATGTGCCAGGTATCAATTTAGATACTGGGGATATAGCAGTGAACAGCACAGATAAAGTATTTGATCTATGAAGTTTCTATTTTAGTGGGTAAAAACAGTCAATAAAATATACAAATAAATATGTCAAGTGACGATAAGTGCCATGAAGAGAAAGAAAGTAGGATAAAGAGAGACATGGGAATGCCACACTATTTTATTTGGGATGGTTAATGACTATTTCTATGAAAAGGTAATATTTGAGCAAAGAACTGAAGGAGTGAGATATATATGGGGAAACCATATTCCAAACAGAGGGTACAGCAAGTGCAAAGTCACTGAGGAAGTGTCATGCTTGAAATTTGAAAGGATTGCAGCTGGGGAGGGGAATGGTAGAGATGAGTTTAGAGAAGCAGCAGTGTCCAGGCCGCAGATTCTTCTACAAGCCATGGAAATGACAGATTTTACACTGAGAGAGAAGGGAGCTATTGGAAGTGTTCTGCAGCTGAGTTATATGACTTGACTTACACTTTAAAAGAATCATTCTGACTGCTGTGGGGAGAACAGACTATGGGGGGTAATATGGTAGCAGGAAGATCAATTAAGAAACTCTTGCAAAAGTCCAAGCAAAGGATGATGGTGACCTGGATTAGGGAGATAACAATACAGAGGTAGAGAAGATATTAAGTTCTCTACGTACTTAGAAGGAAAAGCTGACCAATTTTCCTGATAAATTGTATGGACTGCAAAAGGACAGAAGCCAACCCCTATTCTCTATCGTTCCATTTTATATGTTTTTATAGCTTTTGTTACCATTTATAATTATATTATGTATTTTTTGCCCACTTATTGATTGTCTTCCTTAACCAGTAAAGTAGTATTCCACGATATCAGAAACTTCACCTATCTCGTTCACAACCAAATTTCAGCACCTAGAAGAGTACCTGGTACACAGCAGGTGCTCAATAAGTATTTGTTTGTATGGATGAGTGAAAAGAAAGGGATTTGGCATCTATGATGAGCCCTTAATATATTTCTACCCTTCCCACTCTAATCCTACTTCTGGGAATCTATTTTGAAGAAATTTCACAAAGGCAAAAACTTATCCCAATAGATACTCATCAAAGCAACCTATTCTTACAGTGGAAAATTAAGCACATTCTAACAGTTCAATAGGAGGAGAATTTGGGACACTTCCCAAAAGGTTCAAAGAAGACATTGCCCACTTTTGGGACAGGATGGTCAATGGTTAGAAACAGTCTGCTCTGCCAGGGCTTAAGCACCCAGAGATCAGCAGACTCATGGGCACTGGGTTATGCCAGCTAGATGGCAGGGTTATGTTAATTCATTTCAAACCATGCATTCTAATTACAAACTCTTAAAATCTCAAGGGTTTAATTTAAAAAGTTTTACAGCAGGCTTTGAACCAGTTCCTGGGGCCTCATTATTGTCAGCTCTCCTCACCACAGGCCTATGTGGCGGGAGTTTAGGGAAAAGAGAGAGAAGACTATGGGGAAAAGAGGGGAAAGAGAAGCGTATATGATTGAAAAGCCCAAAGGAAAGTGGGAGTAGAAGTTTAATTAAAACACAGCTGGGCAGTTTGCATCAGTGAGTTTAACGCTGAGAAGGAAAACAGGCTTAGGAAATGCCATATGAATGTGGGTATGCTTGCCCCCCAAAGAGCTAACATTTACAATAGACATTGCAGTACAGCCATGGCAGGTACTCAGCACCTTTCTGTGTGCAAGCATGAACATATTGAAATGTACAATTTTACTAATTAAAGACCCCCTTTAGTCTACTGACAGAGTATAAAAAATAAATAAAATATAACCCCATTTTTTTTCTCCCCAAAGATAGAATTATTTTTTAACTTGCACTGCAAAATTCTGAATTCTAGCACTCAATCTTAAGTATATTTACTCTCAAAGCAAAGAATTTCTGAACTGAAAGGTACTTAAGGCATTTTGACTCTTCATTTTTCAAATAAGGAAAACAATGCTCAGAGAGTATCTCAACATAGTAAAGAAAGGAAGAAGATGCTGTATCTTTCCTGATCTCTACTTAAGCTCTCTCTTCACTGTTCTGCACTATTTTCTAGTTATTTCTGGGATTATTTATTCAACAAACACTGAGCCTTCTAGTGCAATGCACTGGTTAACCATGGGGAAAAGTGCACACAAAGATGAAACAGGAATAAATTCTATCTTCTGGAGTTGTATACTCTGGATGTAAATGTTCTTATATTCATTCTTTCTCTCTTTTCCTCTGCCTGCTTCTAAAAAGAACTTGAGGTGGTCAAGCTTTAGACCATTATATATTTAAGATGCTGAAAAGATTTCATTCAACAATGCTTTTTGCATCAATAATAATTTTATTCACTATTAGTCAGACATATTTTTTCTTCACTTTAAGTCCTCTCCTTGACTTTCTGTAAGTACCTTAGAAATTTCCAAGTAAGTGTCATTTGCTTTGCCTATTGAAGTCAAATTATGTTATGTGTTTGAATTACAACTTGAAGGGGGCTATGCTTTTAGTAGCTCATTTTTTGTGTTCAAATGCAAAAATTATTGAAATTATTCTATGCTTGTATTCTATGATTGCTTATTCTGAGTTCCATTTGCCTCTTCTTAAGAAATCATTGTTGTCTAGAGAATGAAAAAAGACAGGTCATATTAGTAAATCAATATTTATATTCAAGAAAAAGATCTAAAATATTTTTTAAAAGAACTATTCTCATATAAAAATAAATCATCTCTGATAATATGTTTTCTAAAAGAGTTTGGCTTTTATGTTTATGCAAGACTGACTTCCTGCCAAGCCTTCACTCCAAGATATGTCACAGTGGAGGGTCCCAGTGTTTCCCCTTGTCACTTTATAGGATTAGTTCGGTCCACTGTCATTCGGCTAAAATGCCTTGTATCTCTGGTTAGTGTGAAGTCCATAACTAAGCCCAAGTATTGGTTCTTTAAACTTTATAAAGTGGCTCTTCCATTCACTCTCAGGTTGTACCATTCATCATACCTTCAATGGCTGGGGAAAACGTACTGTCTCTTTATGGTCTTTTTAATGCTCTGCAAAGTGATTTGTTAAAGGAAGGGTTTTGAAAGAAGTATTGTCCTTTTGGCTTAAAGTTTATAGTTTTTCAGCACTTACTATAAAAGGAACACATCCACAACCACATTTTTTTTTCTACAGGTAAAGGAACGGAATGTTTAGTCTGAAAGCTTAGAAGGAAGATGAGGTGCAGCATGAAGACAAAAGCAAAATCGGAAAGCTAAAACAGTAAGAAAGGAGACAAAAATCCGAGATGAATTGTAGCAAAGTGATATATTTATCATTATCCCAGAATATATAAATTTCTTTTTTTACCAGAATATTAAGTCTTTTGAAATGTTCCAAAAACATGAGAATCTAAAACTGATTCTCACTCTTGATTTCAACAACTAATATTTCATGAGTTTCTGCCTCCTCTTGGTGAATTTTTTCAAACTAACAGTTCCACATGGCACTTTTTCATCGCATGCAGGGATCACAACACAGGCACCTTTATCTTCACAATAAATGGATACTGAACTTTGAAAAATAATTTAGACCGTTGTGAGCCAAGTAGGACCCAATACAAACGGGAAAATGTAGGTACTATTTGGGCTTCCAGAAATTTCAAGAATTGGGTGGCATTCTTGGAGAAAAAGGCTCTCAGGTTATCCTGAGGATACCGCAGGTGTGTTTTATCTGGTGTATCACTCAGGGATCTTGTTAGCAATCAACCAAAAGGAAAGCCTCGGTTAACTCTGCAAGGTAGGAATTTATTAGATGTGATTTGGATTGCTCTCATAATTGGTAGAGTATGTGGAGAAACAAACCTGACCACCAGGAACTAGGATCTGGATGTTCAGAAATACAGTCAAAATTACGCCACCAGAATTGGTTATAATGCTATTGCTATGGCCACTGGCCATTGAATGCCACTAACAGAGTTAATTCCATACACTCACACCTTCCTAGTGTCATCTGCAGAAGATTCAATGGCCTCGTGGACTTGAACTGACTACAGTCTAGCTACACGGGTTGAGGGGAAGGAATATATGTATTTGGCATTTTTAGCTAGTGCACTGGCTAAAAATAGGAAGGGCCTATCTTCCATTAAGAATCTGACTGTTTTAGGAGGCCCCCAGACAGAATTAGGATCCAAATGCTTGAGCAGCCAAAAAAGAAAAAGAAAACTAAAAATGCCCCCTTTTCTGGTTAAAATTAAACTAAATCAAGTGAGTTGAGAGCAGATAGGCAGTCTGTATTATTCTAGTCAAATCTGCACTTTTTCATCCATAGAAAGTTTTGAACTATGAATTATTAATAATAAGCCTTTTGTTAATATAGGTACATCCCAGATACCAAAGATATATTCGGAAGTAAGGTGCCATTACTGGGGGAAAATCCCAGATATTTTGCTATTTAAAAACAATCTCGGGCTGGGTGTGGTGATTCATGCCTGTAATCCCAGCACTTTGGGAGGCCAAGGCAGGTTCATTGCTTGAGTTCAGGAGTTTGAGACCAGCCTGGGCAACATGTGAAACCCTGTCTCTACCAAAAACAGGAAAATTAGCCAGGCGTGGTGGCACATGCCTGTGGTCCCAGCTACTCAGGAGGCTGAGGTAGGAGGGTCACTGAAGCCTGGGAAGTCAAGACTGCAGTGATCTGTGGTCACACCACTGCACTCCAGCCTTGGTGACAGAGTAAGACCCTGTCTCAAAACAAAACAAAAACACCAAAATACTCTGAGCTAACCAAATTTCTTTAAAAGAAAAATATGCATTTTTTTACACATAAGTTTCTTAAAAGTCAAGCATAGAACAAACTTCAAATCCAAATGAGTTGATAGAAAATTAGTTTGTCAGGCTGACTTATGGATCACATTCTATCCAAATGGTTTCTCTTGTAAACTATTTTACAATTTTATATAATATTAAATTTAGTTTACTTCCCCCCCTTTCCAACACATAAGTCATAATCTCTCTCCCCATACTGCATTATTTACATCAATGTAAAAATACTCTCTAGTATCTCATCACCTTAAAAAATAAGCTCTTCTCTGGGTCCTTTATCCCTCTAGTTATCCCTTGATTTCTCTGCTTCCTTATCAAGAACAATGATCAAAAGCATTTTGAACATGAGATTTCTCAAGTTCCTCACTTCCCTGATCTCCTCAACCCACCCTAGCTCGCTTTCCAACTCATCTGCCACGTTACCTTGTCAAGGTTACCAGTAGTCCCATGTGGATAGATTTCAAGGTTACTTTTTCATCTTTATTTATATGATTTTTCTATCAGCATTCAATAACATATGAATGTTGACATCTCGATCTCACTCCTTCCCACTCCCTCCCCCCAAAAAAACTTCTCTCCCACAGCTATGTGATGCTATAATAAGCTTGAGCTTTTCTCTTATCTCATGGAGCTAGTCTTCCAAATCTCTCTCTCTCTCTTTTTTTTTTTTTTTTTTTGCCTCAAAATGTTGGTTTGCAGCATTCTCAATGTTCTTTTTCTGAGATTTCAATTTGGCCTAAAGCTTTGAATACCATCTATTTTCTGATGACTTCTAAATTTATATTTGCAGAACTGACCTCTGCTCTGAAGTCTAGATTCATCTATTAAACTGCCTATCTAATATCTTCTCTTCATTCTGTACCCCAAACCTCTAAAGTCTAGACTCATATCTCAAACTGTCTAGCTATTTTCTCTTCATCCCGTACCCTCATTTTCCATTATCTCAGTTAAAGTTCTGAAAAACACTGATGGCTCAAGCCAAAAGCCTAGGTATCATCCTTGATCTTTGTTTACCTGTCCCTATCACATCCAATTCATCAACTAAGTCTATTAGATCCACCCTCAAATTATAAAGGATCATATTTTCCAAATATTATGACTTTTATTTATTTCTGTCCAGTTTATTTTTCTTGTCTTAATGCACTGATAAGGACCTCTATGAGTATGTTGAAGGTAACACTGAGAGTGAACATTCTTTTGTTTGTGAATTTAATGTGAATGCATCTGACTTTTTACAGCTGAGTATAATGCTTGCCGAAGGTTTCTGGTAGATATACTACTTCTCATAGGAAGTTTATTTCTATTTTACTATGCTGCTAATGTTTAACCATCATCGGGACTTGGATTTTTTCAATTTATTTTTTGGCATGAGCATAAATTTTTTTTTCTTGTAATCTGTGAATTCAGAGAACGAATAGATGTATTAGGAATACATTATCCTTGCATTCCTGAGACTTATCTGTTTCCCCCATCTGCTCCCTCTGGACTTGCAAGACTTCTTGTGGTCATTCTTGTTCTTTGCAGCACTTTGTTCTGGGCGAGTTCTTGGTTTTCTTTTACCATGTGATACCATCTCTCTAGATCTTTTACGGGGAGCCTGCCTTCTGTTTTTTTAAAGCTGTGTTAGAGTTTTAGAAAAGATCTGTCTTTCTAGTAATGGACGGCGAAGTTGAAGAGGCTGGAGCCTGTGCTTTGGGTGCCATCTTGAGGAGAGTCAGGAAAAGACTCGAGTTATATAAAGACACTTGGGGATCTTCCAATTTAGAGGAATGCCCTTGATCCAGAGTGTAGTGACAAAGCAGGACAAGGTGAGGTGATAATTCAGAGAAAAGTGTCTCCAAAATTAATGTTGGCTGAGTTCAAGTGAGGAGAGAGAAGAAACAGGCATGGTAAGAGATGAAGACAAGGACCGTACAATGTCAAGGGCCAAGAAATTTAATTAAAAGCTAATTATTTCCTCTGAAAGTTTTCATCATCGTCCCCCACAAAAATATTGCTAAAAATATTCCCATAAGTTCTGATTCTTGCATGTATAAATGGGGAAAAGGGGACCATTGCAAAGTTTCCTCTTATTCAATCTGATGACCAATATCACCCAAAGTTTTATAGCTGGTTACAAGACAGAAAAAAACTGGGGAGATATTAAAGTCATATTGCAACTTCTTTCTAGAATAATAAAAGGATTTCTTTGATTTCAGTAAATATCATAGGCCTCTGTAGGAGTTTGGTCTGGTTTTCCTTTCTGCTCTAACAAGACAGCACTGAGTTCAATGCCTCACAATTGCTGTATTCTTCCTTCCCCAGCACCTAGAGACGCTCTCTGCACCACGCCATGATTGCTGAAGGGTGCAGGAGGGGTGGCATACTTGATTTAGGACTGTTTTTTTTCTATCTCTTCAGTGCTTGTTTCAGCCATATGAAGTTAAAACCAGGTACTATGAGGGCTCACCGGATTTTTGGTTCGTATGAAGGTATTTTTTCTGTGTAGATAGTTGTTAACCTGGTGTCCTTGTGGTGGCAGGGCAGACTATCAGTGGAGCCTTCTATTCCGCTATCTTGCTTTGCCTCCTCCCCTCTGGAAAACTAATTTTTAAAAAATCAATTCTCGGCCGTGCACAGTGGCTCATGCCTGTAATCCCAACACTTTGGGAGGCCGAGGTGGGTGGATCACAAGGTCAGGAGTTGAAGACCAGCCTGGCCAATATGGTGAAACCTTGTCTATACTAAAAATACAAAAATTAGCTGGGCATGGTGGTGGGTACCTGTAGTCCCAGCTACTCGGGAGGCTGAGGCAGGAGAATCACTTGAACCCAGGAGGTGGAGGTTGCAGTGAGCCAAGATCGTGCCACTGCACTCCAGCCTGGGCGACAGAGCGAGACTCCACCTCAAAAAAAAAAAAAAAAATTCAAGTCTCCACTAATTGATGTATATTCTTAAAAAATTACTTAGAATCAAAATCTCAACAGGGTTTTTCATTATTGTAGTTGTTTACTCACTTGTTTTAGTGGAATGCAACAAGCTGGTTTAAAAATTTAAATGGAAGCACAAACAACCAAGAATAATTGTGTGTTCTTGACAAAAACTAAGGTAGAATAATTAGCAAGATTTATTATGAAGATATTACAATAGTATAGCATTGGCATAGAGATGAAGAAAAAAAATAGAAAAGAATAGAGAGCCTGCAAAGAGATCCACACAGATCCAGACTTTTGGCCCCGTAGATGAGGCAGAAAGAGTGAACCTTTCAATGAACAGTGCTATAATTAGGAATCCATATTTTAAAAAAACTACAGTTGTATTCCTAGTTCACTATGCCCAAAACTCATTTAAACTTAAAAATTTATACAACTCTTTGAAGATAATATAGAAAAATCTCTTTGTGGAATTTGGGTAAACAATTTTTTTTACTCATGGTACAAATAGTATTAATCATAAAAAAGATTAATAACTTTGACTACTTTAAAATTAAGAAGTTGTGTTTATTAAAATACACCACAAGAAGAGTGAAAATTGGCCCAGAGTGGGAAAAGCTGTTGGCCACACATGTAACTGACCAAGTTCATATATCTAAAACATTGTGACATACAGAAAATCCGATAGAAAAATACACAAGAAAATGGAATGAGCACTTCAAAATAAAAGCAAAAATCAAATGTTTAGTTAATATATGCAAAGCTGCTTAACATCATTAGTAATGAGGAAAATGCAAATGAAAACCACAATAATATATTACTATGCACTCATCACTTTGGAAAAAAATGTATCTCATAATATCAAGTGTTCCTAAGGATCTAGAGCAATGGAAACTCATATACTCTAAGTGATATGATTTTGACTTGTCTTTATCTACAGCTTGGTTTTATCTAAGAAGGTTGAAGCTATGCATATTCTACGATACAGCAATTCCTTTCCTAGGGTATGCCAGAGAAACTCTCGCACAGATATACATGTAAAGGATGTTTGTAGTATCAGATAGGCCCCAAATAAAAACAATCAAAAACCAATCAGCAGCAAAATAGATTAACTGATTGTATTATAGTTATATAATTGAGTATTAGGCAGAAAGAAAAATGAAGTAGAGCTACACAAATCAACACAGACGATGTCACAGTATTGCACTAAAGAAGCAAGCCATAAAAGATTACATAAAATATAACTTTCTTGTATTCTTATACAGTTTAAAACAAGTTAAAACTAAACTATGTAGTTTAAGTTTGTGCACATAGGTAGTAAAACTAAAGGAGCAAAAGGAATGATCACAGAAGTCAGATTAGTGTTCCATCTGGTGGTAGGAGAGGGACAATGAACTTGGAGGAACATATGGAGGACTTCAATTATTGGCAACATTCTATTTCTTAATCTGTTGCTGATCTGATTGTTCCCTTTATAATTATTATTTAAATTGTACATATGCTTTTAGATACATTTTTTGTGAGCAGGTAATAGAAACTAAACTGAAACAAGTAGAAGCAAAAAAAAAAAAAAAAAAAAAAGCAGTTTATTGATTAAGGAAACAAAAATGTCTAGATGTTGACCTGGAGCTTTAATCAGTACTATATCTAGATTCTTTAACAATATCCCTAGGGGTATCGCTCTTTGCCTTTGATTTGTCATTTATGTGTGTGTGTATGGTAGGGGTGGGGGTGGGTGGTGATGGTGCTTATTGTCCATCAAGCTCTCTTTGTGTGAAGATAATATTACAAGGCAATTCCAGGCTTAAATGGTTTGTAGAAATCATTATCTCAGAAAGAAAGAAATTATTTCTCCATTAATGCCTTTATCACTCATCTGGACACTGACTGGCTATACTTAGGTCGTTTGAACATTCATAGTCAAGTCTTGAGGTCCAGGGCATGGAATGCTAAGACTGGCCATCTGTAGTCACACCTACTCTGATGATGAGAATGGTGGGGTCCCTTGGTTGTCATCCCCATTTCAATCAGAGAGAAAGTAAAGGCAGCTCTCAGAATAAAGATTCATAGAACAGATGAAAAAGCAAAAAAGGCCACTAAAGGAAAGTGAATTTATATATATATTTTTTCACTTTAAGCATATCTTGGGCTCTTGCAATTAGGAAAAGAATAGCTATGATGCTATGTTCTCTCAGTTAAGGGCACTGGTTCTGGAATTCAATGATCTGTTTCACATTCTTGCTCTACCACTTATTCGTTTTTCATTTTGAAATTTAGTTTTCTTCACGTGTCGCTGAAGATTAATTATGAGTATGTGGCTTAGTAATGCGCATTCATCATGGACTTGCAGTGACACTGATCCTTCAGCACAGAATATCCTGGCACACGTTCCTGACCAAAAAGCAGCCATTTGTGGGGCACAAGCCAATATTTATTGCATATTCTTGCCTTGGTCTATCTTTCTGATACTAACACCAAATTTTCTAGGATAGAAGACTTCTAACTCTCAGGAAGTAGTTTGTTTCTCAAAGAGAAAACATGGGGTGTTCAGTTGGCTGTGTGGCTGCTCCCATCTGTAGAGGTGAAGTGGATGTACGTAGTCTTCTATGCTGACAGAATAATTCAAAAGAATGCTTTGAAGGTAAATATATAAATCAGTACACTCCCCCAACTCAATACCTTCATGAAATGTATCTTCATGAAGTCTGCCTATTACATTAAAGCTTTTTTTTTCTTTGACAGAGTTTCGCTCTTGTTGCCCAGGCTGGAGTGCAATGGTGCGATCCTGGCTCACTGCAGCCTCTGCCTCCTGGGTTGAAGCGATTCTCCTGTCTCAGCCTCCTGAGTAGCTGGGATTACAGGTACCTGCCACCACATCTGGCTAATTTTGAATTTTTAGTAGAGACGGGGTTTCTCCAATTTGGTAAGGCTGATCTCGAACTCCAGACCTCAGGTAATCTGTCTGCCTTGCCCTCCCAAAGTGCTGGGATTACAGGTGTGAGTCACCATGCCCGGCCTACATTAAAGTTTTAATTTCCAGGAAGACACTCCGACTTGAAGCAGAGTGATATAGTTTGGATACGTCCCCACCAAATCTAATGTTAAATTATAATCCCCAATGTTGGAAGTAGGGCCTAATGGTAGGTGTTTGGGTCATGGAGGTGGATTGCTCATGGCTTGGTGCTATCCTCACCATAGTAAGTGAGTTCTCAGAGATCTGGTCATTTATAAATGTGTGTAGCACTTCCCCCTGACTCTCTCTTTCTTGCTTTTGCTCTGCCTTGTGAGATGTCTGTCTGCTCCCACTTTGACTTCTGCCATGAGTAAAACCTTCCTGAGGCCTCATCAGAGGCTGAGGAGATGCTCCCTGTACAGTTTGCAGAACCATAAGCCAATTCAACTTCTTTTCATTGTAAATTACCAGTATCAGGTATTTCCTTCTTCCTTTCTTTTCTTTGTTTTTGTGGGCGGAGTGGGGAGGTGGGACAAGGTGCTGATTTTAAAAGATAAACAGGAGTTTTCCTGTTATAGAAAGAAGGCAAAACCATTTCAGGAAACCCTGTTATAGAAAGAAGGCAAAACCATTTCAGGAAACCCTGTTATAGAAAGAGGGCAAAACCATTTCAGGAAGAAAGAGTAGTATTTGTAAATGCACAGAAATATGAACTGTGGTGAAATGTTCTGAAAACGATCATCAGTTTGGAATTGCGGGAGAAGGGGTGCAAAGATGGGAACCTGGAACTTGAGGCAGGAGGTGAAGGCAGACCCAGATGATGAGAAGGTTGGCAACAGGAATTTACTGAAGGATTCTACCTGAAGGCAACAGGAATTTACTGAAAGGTTTTAAGCTGAAATTTATGGTTAATTTGGCAGTATTCTGGGAGACAGCTCAGTTGGGATTGTGGCTAGAGGTAGGGAAACTAGTGAGGAGGCTTCTGGAACAGTCCAGGTGAGAGGTGCTGAGGACTTGAACTTTGACCGTGGGGATAAGAATGGAGGCTGAGGAGTTAGGGAGGTGTTTGCCTGGTGTGGACTCAAGTCTCAGACTGCAGAGCAATGGACGTCCACACAGAAGGCAGTGAAGAGAGTCTATTTCCAGGGGCTTTGAAATGAGCTTGAATGTCAGACTTCTGGCTGACACTATGACTGTCTCATGCAGACCTTCAGACAGATTACTTACTAATAAGGAAAATGGTATAGTCTGAAAGTAATCTCAGGCTCTTTGGAATTATGAAGACAGGGCAAAAGTCAAGAGATGGTATGTTTTTGTGCCAAAGACATGGAGGTCTAATGCTGAACCTGAGTTTCAGGTCTGCCCTTTCTAATCAATTATAAGGTGAACTTCAAACTGTTTATGTCTTTTAACCTCAAGGTTCTGCATCTGCCAAATGGGGGACCGGATAATACTTCCTCCAATCTATTTCACAGCTAGCAAGAAAATACTTGTAAGCCATACTTCACATTCCTGACCAAGTCTCTTCCCTCATGAAATAAAATCATTAAGAAATTTTTAGTAATATTTTAATTATCATATTTTAATTAAAAATTTAAGTATAGAAAGAAGACTGTATAGCTCTACATTAAAAACACATTAGTACATGACTTGGCTACTTGACACCAAAGTAGCTGGTGTCACATTCACCCTCCCACGATAAAAAACTATACAATCTGGACAAAATATAGAAAAAAAATTCTTGGCAGTTGTATTAGTCTGTTCTCATGCTGCTAATAAAGACATACCCAAGACTAGGGAATTTATAAAAGAAAGAGGTTTAGTGGACTCACAGTTCCACATGGCTGGGGAGAACTCACAATCATGATAGAAGGCAAAGGAAAAGCAAAGGCACATCTTACATGGCAGACAAGAGAGAGGGCATGTGCTGGGGAGCTCCCCTTTGTAAAACCATCAGATCTCATGAGACTTATTCACTATCACAAGAACAGCATGGGAAAGACCCACCCCCATGACTCAATTACCTCTCACCAGGTCCTCAGCATGGTTCAGGTGGGCAAGGCTACACGTGGGAATTATGGGAGCTACAATTCAAGATGGGATCTGGGTAAGGACACAGCCAAACCATATCAGCAGGCATTGAAGAACATTGTTGTACCAAGTCAGGTATGAGATCTTTAAGGAAGGTGAGACACATGAGGTTAGTACCACATTTGCCAGGGTTTTCCAGAAAGGCATCTTCCTGACCTTGGTACAGGAAAATGGGACCCAACCAGAGGTTAGTGGTCTTGGTAACCAAAAGAAGCAAAAAATAGAGTTCAAAGCTAATAAGCTGGTTGGGAATTGGGGGTTAATGTACCATATGGGAGAGAGAAAGAACCCTGGAAATGGGTGTGTAAATGCCATTTTGGTCCTTCCGTGACTCTTTAGCTGTGTGACAGTTGGCTAAGAAGAGGAGAGACCTAGTAGAAAGCAACTGCTGGGAAAGCAGAAGAGATCATCAGGGACTGAAAATTTCCTGGAAACCTACTGGGTTTCAGATCCAGCCAGATGGGGAAATGTTGGTAAACAACTGAGAAACCCAGTTGGGACCCTAAAGATTCTGTCTAAGGAGAGGTACAGTATCCTAGGAGTAAGGCATATGTCCTAAGAGGAAAATAAAATATCATTACCATAGCACAGCTTAAAACTAGGTCTTGAGAGCAGCAAGGTGATCTGCAGGTAATATAACATCTGTCCAGAAAAAAATTCAAAATTTTTGGGCATTTCTATATCATATTATCCAGAAACTCAGCATACTTTTAAAAAGTTACCACATACACAAAAAAGCAAGAAATACAGACTCATAAAAAATAAATCAATTATTAAAAACAAATTCACAGATAATCCAGATATTGGAGTTAATAGATAGGGCATCATAATATCTATGATCAATATAAAGGAAAGAAAGAAAAAATGAAAGACAAAGCAGGTCGTGTCCTATTTCCTTCTGGCAGCTCTAAAATGCTCACTTTATTTATTGGCATAGATTTCGATTTCCTAAATTATGTTTGATGTTTCAAGCAAAAATCATAGCATTGTCTGGTGTTAATCTAAATGGATGTAAGACAATGATACTATAAATTTGAGAGGGTAAAGAGACATAAAATGACACAGGGTTGCTATACTACACTCAAACTGGAATACAGATGACACCAATTGACTGTGATAATGTATGTATAAAGGAATATCTAGAACAACCACTAAGCTATAAAAAGCAACCAGAAAACTATAAAAAAGAAGATACATCATAAACACTATGAATAACAAAATGGAATTCTAAAATAAATGTTCAAATAACCCACAGAAAGTCATGAAAAACAAGCAGAGACACAAGAGTTGATAGAGAAAACAAAAACTGTCAGGCTTATGCACTAAAGTATCAATAATTCATTTAATTATGAATGGTCTACCAAGAGACAGATAATAGAAGAGTGTATGTAAAAGTATGACCCTTTCTTATATGTTTCTTGCATGCTGTGTACAAGAAACTCACTTGAAATTTACCAATACAGGGCAGGCCAAATTAACAGGATGAAAAAAGATATATTACACAAACATTAATGAAAGGAAAGCAAGAGTGCCTGTATGTATATCAGATAAAGCAAAGAAAATTACCAGAAACAGATTATATAATGATCAAAGGTTTAATTCATGAAGAAGACAGCAATTTTAAAAGTGTATTCACCAAAAAATAAAGCTTCAAAATATGTGATGTGAAAACTGCCAGAACTAAGGCGGGCCGGGCTCAGACCAGCGCTGCCTCAGGATGTGAAGTGTAACAAGAGGGCCAGGGGAGGTGGTGGGGGACAACATGGGCCTGTGAGGCCTGTGGGTGCCCGCGTTCCCCAGCTCCCCCCGCAGCCCGCTCCACAGTGGTCCGCTCCGGTTGGTTGTCACGTGCGCATTCGGGTTCCAGACCCAAGGCTGCGTGTTCTCCACCGCTTGTTGTGGCCAGTGTTACTGCGGTGACCGCCAGAGCAGCCTCGACGCTATGGAGGAGCCTGGTGCTACCCCTCAGCCCTACCTGGGGCTGGTCCTGGAGGAGCTACGCAGAGTTGTGGCAGCACTACCTGAGAGTATGAGACCAGATGAGAATCCTTATGGTTTTCCATCGGAACTGGTGGTATGTGCAGCTGTTATTGGATTTTTTGTTGTTCTCCTTTTTTTGTGGAGAAGTTTTAGATCGGTTAGGAGTCGGCTTTACGTGGGAAGAGAGCAAAAACTTGGTGCAACGCTTTCTGGACTAATTGAAGAAAAATGTAAACTACTTGAAAAGTTTAGCCTTATTCAAAAAGAGTATGAAGGCTATGAAGTAGAGTCATCTTTAGAGGATGCCAGCTTTGAGAAGGCGGCAGCAGAAGAAGCACGAAGTTTGGAGGCAACCTGTGAAAAGCTGAACAGGTCCAATTCTGAACTTGAGGATGAAATCCTCTGTCTAGAAAAAGACTTAAAAGAAGAGAAATCTAAACATTCTCAACAAGATGAATTGATGGCGGATATTTCAAAAAGTATACAGTCTCTAGAAGATGAGTCAAAATCCCTCAAATCACAAATAGCTGAAGCCAAAATCATCTGCAAGACATTTAAAATGAGTGAAGAACGACGGGCTATAGCAATAAAAGATGCTTTGAATGAAAATTCTCAACTTCAGACAAGCCATAAACAGCTTTTTCAGCAAGAAGCTGAAGTATGGAAAGGAGAAGTGAGTGAACTTAATAAACAGAAAATAACATTTGAAGACTCCAAAGTACACGCAGAACAAGTTCTGAATGATAAAGAAAATCACATCAAGACCCTGACTGGACACTTGCCAATGATGAAAGATCAGGCTGCTGTGCTTGAAGAAGACACAACGGATGATGATAACCTGGAATTAGAAGTGAACAGTCAATGGGAAAATGGTGCTAACTTAGATGATCCTCTGAAAGGAGCTTTGAAGAAACTGATTCATGCTGCTAAGTTAAATGTTTCTTTAAAAAGCTTAGAAGGAGAAAGAAACCACATTATTATTCAGTTATCTGAAGTGGACAAAACAAAGGAAGAGCTTACAGAGCATATTAAAAATCTTCAGACTCAACAAGAATCTTTGCAATCAGAAAACATATATTTTGAAAGTGAGAATCAGAAGCTTCAACAGAAACTTAAAATAATGACTGAATTCTATCAAGAAGATGAAATGAAACTCTATAGGAAATTAACAGTGGAGGAAAATTACCGAATAGAGGAAGAAGAGAAGCTTTCTAAAGTGGAAGAAAAGCTCAGCCGTGCCACTGAACAGCTGGAGACCTATAGAAAGCTAGCCAAAGATCTTGAAGAAGAATTGGAGAGAACTGTTCATTTTTATCAAAAGCAGGTTATTTCCTACGAGAAAAGAGGACATGATAATTGGTTGGCAGCTCGGACTGCTGAAAGAAACCTCAGTGATTTAAGGAAAGAAAATGCTCACAACAAACAAAAATTAACTGAAACAGAGTTGAAATTTGAACTTTTAGAAAAAGATCCTAATGCACTTGATGTTTCAAATACAGCATTTGGCAGAGAGCATGCCCCGAATGGTCCCGCACCATTGGGTCAGCGTTCATCTGAAACGAGAGCTTTTCTCTCTCCTCAAACTTTGTTGGAGGATCCACTGGGACTCTCACCTGTGCTTCCGGAGGGAGGAGGAAGAGGCCCAAGAGGCCCAGGGAATCCCCTGGACCATCAGATTACCAATGAAAGAGGAGAACCAAGCTGTGACAGGTTAACCGATCCTCACAGGGCTCCTTCTGACACTGGGTCCCTGTCATCTCCGGTGGAACAGGACTGTAAGATGATGTTTCCTCCACCAGGACAATCATATCCTGATTCAGCTCTTCCTCCTCAAAGGGAAGACAGATTTTATTCTAATTCTGAAAGACTGTCTGGATCAGCAGAACCCAGAAGTTTTAAAATGACTTCTTTGGATAAAATGGATGGGTCAATGCCTTCAGAAATGGAATCCAGTAGAAATGATGCCAAAGATGATCTTGGTAATTTAAATGTGCCTGATTCATCTCTCCCTGCTGAAAATGAAGCAACTGGCCCTGGCTTTATTCCTCCACCTCTTGCTCCAGTCAGAGGACCATTGTTTCCAGTGGATACAAGGGGCCCGTTCATGAGAAGAGGACCTCCTTTCCCCCCACCTCCTCCAGGAACCATGTTTGGAGCTTCTCGAGGTTATTTTCCACCAAGGGATTTCCCAGGTCCACCACATGCTCCATTTGCAATGAGAAACATCTACCCACCGAGGGGTTTACCTCCTTACTTTCACCCGAGACCTGGATTTTACCCCAACCCCGCATTCTGAAGGTAGAAGCGAGTTCCCTTCAGGATTGATTCCGCCTTTAATGCTACTGAACATCCAGGACCACAAAAGAAACCTGACAATATTGTTGCTTTCTTCAAAAGTAATTTTGACTGATCTCATTTTCAGTTTAAGTAACTGCTATTACTTAAGTGATTGCACTTTTGCTCAAATTGAAGTTTAATGGAATTATAATTCTCAGGATAGTATTTTGTAAATAAAGATGTTTTAAATAGGAATCTTATGAGTAAATCATTCCATTTTATTATTCTAGATCATATAACTATTTTAATTTGGTGAATTAATCCACTGTTATAGAAACAATAATGGGAGTTTTATATATGTAATCTTGCAGGTGGGGAGGCTTTAAATTCTAAAGGTTGTGGTGTCTTCATGCCAAGAACTGTATTCACTGTGGTTGTAGATAAATGTGAAAGTAACTTTATGCTTAATTTAATAAACTTTAGTTGATTTTTTTTTTAAAAAGAAAACTGCCAGAACTGAAAGTAGGTATAGATGAATCCACAATTATAGTTGGAAATTTTCTCTTGCGTTTTTCAATAATGGATAGAACTAGACAGAAAATCAGCAAGGAGTGTTGGCTTTGGCAGCACTTTCTAAAATTAGAATGACACAGACAAGATTAACACGTCTCCTGCATATAGATTACACAAAATTTTGTGAAGCGTTTCATATTTTAAAAGGGGGGAAAAAAAAAGAAAATCAACAAGAATATAAAACAACTCAAAATGCCATTAACCAAAAGAATCTATTTGGCATTTACAGAATATTCCACACAACAACAGCAGAATACACATTTTTTTTGAGTGCTGACGAAACACATGGCAAGATAGAGCTATCCTAGGCCCTAAAACTCACCAGAACAAATTTAAAAGAGATCGTAATCATCCAGAGCAGGTGAAAACCAGAAACCATTGTAGGGAATCCAATTGGAAATCAGCATAAGAAAGATATGAAAATTCCCAAACACTTGGAAATTAAAAAAACACACTTCTAACTAATCTATCGGTCAAAGAAGAAGTCTCAAGGAAAAATTTTAAAAATACATTGAACTGGATAAACATGAAACTGTGACATATCAATGTACTGAGAAGGAAACTTATAGCAGTAAATGCATGCATTAGTAAAGAGGAAAAGTCTCGAGTGAGCAATAGATTTCCACCTCAGGAACCTAGAAAAAGAAGAGCAGAATAAACTCAAAGCAAGTAGAGGGTGGAGATTAATGAAGATAAGAAAAGAAAACACTTATATTTAAAAGAGAAAAAATAGTTAAACCAATAAAACAAAGGGATAGTTCTGTTAAAAGATTAATAAAATTTAGCAAACTCAAACAGAAATTAAAAGGAAAAGAAAAGGCATAAATTTTAAATACCATAATGAAACAGGTGATATCACTACAGACACCACATATAACAAAGGACAATCAAGGAATATTACAAACCACTCCACACACATAAATTAGACAACTTAGACAAAATGGACAAAATGCAGTGTTCCTCCTGCAACACAAGCAAACTCAACTCACCACGCATGAATAGATCATTTGAATAACTCTATAACCATTAAGAAAATTGAATTCATAATTTTAAAACTACCAGAAAAGGAATCTCTAGGTTTAGATGGTTTCACTGGAGAATTCTACCATGTTTAAAAAAAAAAACACCAATTCTACACAATCTTTTCCAGAAAACAGAAAAGGAGAGAACACTCCCCAATTTATTTTTTGAAGCTATTATTACACTGATACCAAAACCAGGAGAGAGAGTGGGTGTGTGTGTGTATATGTAAAGATATGTATAACTTAATATTAACAAATAGAGTTCTACAGTATATTAAAAAAATGTACCCCATGTCCAAGGGGGGTTGTTTCCAGAAATACAAGCCTGATTAAGTCTCAAAAAGTCAATCAAAATAATCCACCATGTTAACAAACAAAAGAAAAGTTACGTTGCATCAGTTGATGCATAATAAACATTTAACAAATTTAACACATTTCAATATCCATTCATGATAAAATCTCTCTATAAAGCAGGAATAGAGGAAACTTTATCCACTTGATAAAAAGCATCTACAAAAAGCTAACATTATACAGTCATGTGTTGTTTAACGATGCGTTAAATGATATGTTCTGAGAAATGTGCTGTCAAGTGAATTTGTCATTGTGCAAATGTCGTAGAGTGTACTTACAGAAACCTAGGTGGTATATATAGTAGCCACTATACACCTTGGCTATATGGAAGAGCTCATAGCTCCTACGGGACAAACCTGTGCAGCATATTAGTGTAGTGAATACTATAGGCAATTGTAACACAGTAAGTGTTATGTTTATGGTAACAATTTGTAATAGTCACCAACTGTGGTATTTATGTAACTAAGTATATCTAAATACATGAAATGTACAGTAGAAAATATAAAAGATTTTTAAGATGGTACACCTGTATAGGGAACTTACAATAAATGGAGCTTGCAGGACTGGAAGTTGCCTGGGCGAGTTAGTGAGTGAGTGAGTGGTGAGTGAATATGAAGGCCTAGGACATTACTGGCTGTGGGTTTGTCACAGATAGCTCTTATTATTTTAAGATGTGTTCCATCAATACCTAGTTTATTGAGAGTTTTTAGCATGAAAGGCTGTTGAATTTTGTCAAAGGCCTTTTTTGCATCTATTGAGATAACTGTGTGGGTTTTGTCATTGGCTGTGCTTATGTTACGGATTACGTTTATTGATTTGCATATGTTGAACCTGCCTTGCATCCCAGGGATAAAGCCAACTTGATGGTGGTGGATAAGCTTTTTGATGTGCTGCTGGATTCTGTTTGCCAGTATTTTATTGAGGATTTTTGCATCGATGTTCATCAGGGATATTGGCCTGAAATTTTCTTTTTTTGTTGTGTCTCTGCCAGGTTTTGGTATCAGGATGATGCTGGCCTCATAAAATGAGTTAGGGAGGAGTCCTCTTTTTCTATTGATTGGAATAGTTTCTGAAGGAATGGTATCAGCTCCTCTTTGTACCTCTGGTAGAATTCAGCTGTGAATCCATCTGGTCCTGGGTTTTTTTTGGTTGCTAGGCTATTAATTACTGCCTCAATTTCAGAACTTGTTATTGGTCTATCCAGGGAATCGAGTTCTTCCTGGTTTAGTCTTGGCAGGGTGTATGTGTCCGATAATGTATCCATTTCTTCTAGATTTTCTAGTTTATTTGCGTAGAGGTGTTTATACTATTCTCTGATGGTAGTTTGCATTTGTGTGGCATCAGTAGTGATATCCCCTTTATCATTTTTATTGTGTCTATTTGATTCTTCTCTCTTTTCTTCTTTATTAGTCCAGCTAGCAGTCTATTTTGTTCATCTTTTCAAAAAACAAACAAGCAAAAAAACAGCTCCTGGATTCATTTTTTTAAAAGGGTTTTTCGTATCTCTATCTCCTTCAGTTCTGCTCTGATCTTAGTTATTTCTTGTCTTCTGCTAGCTTTTGAATTTGTTTGCTCCTGCTTCTCTAGTTCTTTGAATTGTGATGTTAGGGTGTCAGTTTTAGATCTTTCCCACTTTCTCCTGTGGGCTTTTATTGCTATAAATTTCCCTCGAAACACTGCTTTAGCTGTGTCCCAGAGATTCTGGTACGTTGTGTCTTTGTTCTCATTGGTTTCAAAGAACTTATTTATTTCTGTTTTAATTTTATTATTTACTCAGTAGTCATTCAGGAGGATGTTGTTCAGTTTCCATACAGTTGTGCAGTTTTGAGTCAGTTTCTTAATCCTGAGTTCTAATTTGATTGCACTGTGGTCTGAGAGACTGTTTGTTATGATTTCCCTTCTTTTGCATTTGCTGAGGAGTGTTTTACTTCCAATTATATGGTCAATTTTAGAATAAGTGTGATGTGGTGCTGAGAAGAATGTATATTCTGCTGATTTGGCATGCAGAGTTCTGTAGATGTCTATTAGGTCCACTTGGTCCAGAGCTGAGTTCAAGTCCAGAATATCATTGTTAATTTTCTGTCTTGTTGATCTGTTTAGCATCAACAGTAGGGTGTTAAAGTCTCCCACTATTATTGTGTGGGAGTCTAAGTCTCTTTGTAGGTCTCTAAGAACTTGCTTTATGAATCTGGGTGCTCCTGTATTGGATGCATGTATATCTAGCATAGATAGCTCTTCTTGTTGCATTGATCCTTCTACCATTTTGTAATGCCTTATTTGTC
The DNA here is from genome assembly GCF_000001405.40 of Homo sapiens. NCBI lineage: Eukaryota > Metazoa > Chordata > Mammalia > Primates > Hominidae > Homo > Homo sapiens. The sequence goes on along the minus strand of NC_000007.14, from coordinate 143,751,115 downwards.
TTTTTTGATCTTTGTTGGTTTACAGTCTGTTCTATCAGAGACTAGAATTGCAACCCCTGATTTTTTTTTTTTTTTTTTTTTTTTTTTGCTTTCTATTTTCTTGGTAAATCTTCTCCCATCCCTTCATTTTGAGCCTGTGTGTGTCTTTGCACATGAGATGGGTCTCCTGAATACAGCACACCGATGGGTCTGGACTCTTTATCCAATTTGCCAGTCTGTCTTTTAATTGGGACATTTAGCTTGTTTACATTTAAGGTTAATATTGTTATGTGTGAATTTGATCGTGTCATTATGATGTTAGTTGGTTACTTTGCCTATTAGTTGATGCAGTTTCTTCATAGTGTTGATGGTCTTTACAATTTGGTACATTTTTGCAGTGGCTGGTACCAGTTGTTCCTTTCCACATTTAGTGCTTCCTTCAGGAGCTTTTGTAACACCGGCCTGGTGGTGACAAAATCACTGAGCATTTGCTTGTCTGTGAAGGATTTTACTTCTCTTTCACTTATGAAGTTTAGTTTGGCTGGATATGAAATTTTGGGTTGAAAATTCTTTTCTTTAAGAATGTGAGGGCAGGGATGCAGCTGAAAAGCTGGCGGCCCAGACAGAAGTCTGCCCCAAGCAGCCTGAGCCCTCAGGCACCCCCCAGCTCCCTGGGAGCTCCCCTCCACCTGCCAACGTCAGTGCCACACTGGTGTCTGAAAGGAAAAACAGGAACAGGACAGACTAACCTTTTAAATGACGTGAAAAAATCAGAGGTGAAAATTGTACATTTGGAATGTATTTATGTAAATTTTGTTGAAATTTAGTGTAAACAAAGATTTTCTCAGTGGTCTAGAAAATAAAAAAGAAAAAAAAAAGAAAAGAATGTGGAATATTGGTCCCCACTCTCTTCTTGCTTGTAGGGTCCTGCCAAGTCTGCTGTTAGTCTGATGGGTTTCCCTTTGTGAATAACCTGACCTTTCTCTCTGGCTGTCCTGAACAGTTTTTCCTTCATTTCAGCCTTGGTGAATCTGATGATTATTTGTCTTGGGGTTTTTCTTCTCAAGGAGTATCTTTGTGGTGTTCTCTGTATTTCCTGAATTTGAATGTTGGTCTGTCTTGCTAGGTTGGGGAAGTTCTCCTGGATAATATCCTGAAGTGTGTTTTCCAACTTGGTTCCATTCTCCTGGTCACTTTCAGGTATACCAATCAAACGTAGGTTTGGTCTTTTCATGTAGTCCCATATTTCTTGGAGGCTTTGTTCATTCCTTTTCATTCTTTTTTCTCTAATCTTGTCTTCATGCTTTATTTCATTAAGTTGATCTTCAATCTCTGATATCCTTTCTTCCATTTGATTGATTCAGCTATTGATACTTGTGTATGCTTCACAAAGTCATCGTGTTGTGTTTTTCAGCTCCATCAGGTCATTTATGTTCTTCTCTAAACTGGTTATTCTAGTTGGCAATTCCTGTAATGTGTTTTCAAGGTTCTTAGCTTCCTTGCATTGGGTTATAACATGCACCTTTAGCTCAGAGAGGTTTGTTTTACCTACCTTCTGAAGCCTACTTCTGCCAATTCATCACTCATTCTCCATGCAGTTTTGTTCCCTTGCTGGCGAGGAGTTGTGATCCTTTGGAGGAGAAGAGGCTTTCCGGTTTTTGGCATTTTCGGCAATTTTGCACTGCTTTTTCCTCATTTTTGTGGATTTATCTACCTTTGGTCTTCGATGTTGGTGACCTACAACATCGAAGATGAAACCCCATGAAGATGGGGTTTCAGTGTGGATGTCCTTTTTGTTGAAATTGATGCTATTCCTTTCTGTTTGTTAGTTTTTCTTCTAACAGTCAGGCCCCTCTGCTGCAGGTCTGCTGGAGTTTGCTGGAGGTCCACTCCAGACCTTGTTTGTCTGGGTATCACCAGCGAGGGCTGAAGAACAACAAAGATTGCTGCCTGTTCCTTCCTCTAGAAGCTTCATCCTAGAGGGGCACCTATCAGATGTCAGCCTGAGCTCTCCTGTAGGAGGTGTCTGTCAACCCCTAATGGGAGGTGTCTCCTAGTCAGGATGCACTGGGTTCAGGGACCCACTTGAGGACACAGTCTGTCCCTTAGCAGAGCTTAAGCACTGTGCTGGGAGATCCACTACTCTATTCAGAGCTGGCAGGCAGGGACGTTTAAGTCTGCTGAAGCTGTGCCCACAGCCACCCTTTCCCCCAGCTGCTCTGTCCCAGGGAGGTGGGAGTTTTATTTATAATCCCCTGACTGGGCTGCTGCCTTTGTTTCAGAGATGCCCTGCCCGGGGAGGAGGAATCCAGGGAGGCAGTCTGGCTACAGTGGCTTTGCTGAGCTGCTAGCTGCAGTGGGCTCTACCCTGTTTGAACTTCCCAGCAGCTTTGTTTACCACCTATTCAAGCCTCAGTAATGGCAGATGCCCCTCCCCGCACCAAGCTCCAGCGTCCCAAGTCAACTTCCAATTATGATGCTCATAATCAAATTATGATGGAAGCGTGAATCTGGCACCAGCTACTTTGGTGTCAAGTAGCCAAGTCACGTACTAATTTATTTTTAATGTAAAGCTATACAACCTTCTTTCTATACTTAAAATTTTAATTAAAATATTACTAAAAATTTCTTAATGATTTTATTTCATGGTGAAAGAGACTCAGTCTGGAATGTAAAGTATGTCTTACAAGTATTTCTCATTTTGCAGGACATTGTCTAGGTGTCCCTCTCCCATGGATGATCATTAGTGTGGTTTATCTTTATGCTTTGAGAAAATAAGTCTGTAGTATGTTATTATATTCTACTATATAAAGATACTCTTCAACTTATGATAAGATCATGTTTCAATAAACCCATCATAAGTTGATACTATTCTAAGTTGAAGATGCTGTTTTTTTTAAACAAAATGTAGACTCTTGCCATGTTGCCCAGGCTGGAGTGCAGTGGCTATTCTCACGTGTGCTCATAGTGCACTATAGTCTCAAACTCCTTGAGCTCAAACAATCCTCCTGCCTCAGCTTCCTGAGCAGCTGGGACTATAGGCACAAACCACTATACCTGGCTTGAAGATATGTTTAATAAACCTAACCTACCCAACTTCATAGCTTAGCCTAGCCCACCTTAACCGTGCTTAGAACACTAACATTAGCCTACAGTTGGGCAAAATAATCTTACACAAAGCCTATATTATAGTAAACTGTTGAATATTTCATGTAATTTATTGAGTACTGTACTGAAAATGAAAAATATAATGGTAGCATGAGTACTTGAAATATGGTTCCTACTCAATACGTATCACTTTCCCACCATCATACAGTTGAAAATCTTAAGTGAAACCATTGTAAGTTGGTGACTGTCTGTATTTGTTTATTTATTTTACTACTTTCCCTTTTTCTTGTAATAGTTGAAAGGCATGATAAGGTAAAATATTATTGCCTAAAAATACTCTGCCTCTCTGGAAAATAAAAAAGACAGAAGTTTCCAAGAAATCTTTCAAGAGATATAAAAATCGTATGAAAATGAGATAATTAAAGAATAAATCTGTAATTATGCATGTTGTAAAATACAAATGGGAGGCTGGAAGAGAGACTGTAGATGAGCCGTGAAAATGAAAGCAGAAATAAAGTAGGAATGGAAGCATTCATATAGGAATTGTGAGATATAGTATCTTATTTTTGTTCAACACTAAATAGTTTTCAAGTCTAGCAGAGGACTTGGAAATTTTAAGCTACTCAACAGTGAATCTCAGAGATTTCTTCATTCATCTCACAGTTGGTCTTATATAAATATACAGCTCTGTAATGATTATATGTATCAATTTTTTTTCCAGTCAAGGAGTTTCCCTCCTCATGTTCATTTCTCTGAAAAATACCACTTGGTACTAGATGATGTGAATGGCTGTGATTGAACTGGTTAATTAGGGTAATAGGCTGACATCTTGTTTCAGCAATTAAACAATAAAAAAGATGTTCTTTATTAAGATACGAATCCATTTCTTAAACGAATTGGTTCCATAGATTTCCATAGCATTAACCATGTTGATAATTCAAATGCTTCATCACTGAACAAAAATGCTCAACCTCAGAGACTATCCTTGCATATAAATTTTTTTATTTTCAGTTGAGTATTGGCCAACTCATATCAAACATTGTTCATAGATTTTTTTTTCAAGATGACAATTAGAAGCTTTTAGCATGCCACAGCCACTTGGAAATAGCAAGGCAGTGCATAAAGATAAATACTGTGAGCTTTAATTCAAGAAGGAAAATGGAGATCCACTGGAATTGTGAAGAACACTCCAGATCCTGAGAAGGAGAATGCTGGCAAACAGCCACCATAATGCTGTCCAGCTGAGAAAAGTGAATGAAGTCCCAGCACATGAGAGGTAGAAGCTTCCCTCTGTGACTCACGTTTCCACTGAGGATCAGAGCAATCCAGGCTGAGAGACAGCACTTTGTTTCTCCCAAATCCTGGAGCTAACTTCAGGAGAGGCTTGGAGATGCTGATAGGGACAGACACTGGATAAAGCTACAGGCATTTTCCCAGTCCCAGGACAGAGAACAGGATACCATTTTTAATTTGGGTGCATCTAAAGTCAGCCATTCTTTGGCAACCCAGCAGTGTGGCCATGCAGGCATTTTAGTATTGGGGTAGAGAATGGAGCACCTGCTCTGGATCAGGGTAGGGTCCTCCACAGCCAGAACCATGGAAAATACCTCAACAGTAGGCACGGGAATTGTGCTTTCCCCAGTCACAGGCCTTGGGCAAGAGGAGAGCTGCTATGGCTGTGGTTTCTCCTGGGCAGTGAGACTTTCAGCCAGGGCCAGCCTGATGAACTAGAACTGGTCTGTGTGTGTTATTGCTGGGTGTCCCAGCCTACTTTCCTGAGACTGTGGTGTAGCAGGGCCTTCTCCATTCTACATATAAGCAGATCTCCAAGCATTTAAAGCACCCGCTCTCATGGGCTAGCAGCCTGGGTTGCCCCTTCCTTCCTGTGCAGAGATCCTTGTGCAAGGGGGCCATCTCCACTTCTTGCCCAGGCAGATATCCAGGGATTCAGAGTGCCCATTAGCGTGAATCAGCAGTCTGAGCTGCTCCATTCTTCTGGTGCAGAGATTGCGGTGCAGTGGGACCCTCTCTGCTCCACAGATTTCCAGGTATTTGGAACACCTGCTTGCCTGGAGCAGTAAGTAGCTTGAGCCACCCCATCCTTCCTGCGCAGCGATAGTGGTGCAAGGAGACCCTCTCCACTCCACAACCAGGCAGATCTCCAGGCATCTGGAGCAGCCACTCTCCTGGATTAAGAGATCAGGCTGCCTCTGACACTCCTATGCAGAGAACTTGGGGCCAAGGAGGTTTCCTACCTCCATGCCGAGGCACGCCTCTGGACACTTGGTGGCTGCCCACTGGACTCTCCCTCAGAGCTGGTGCTTGTGCCTATCATTGGGGGACCTGTAGATGGACTTGCCAGGTCCAGCCCTACCCAGTGTTTTTCCAGTAAAGGAGGATCGAGTATATACCCAGCCCCATTGGCTGCAACCTGCTATTACCCATAAGCCCCCATCTACTGGCTTGTAGGTCAAAGTACCCAGCCCAATATAAAACCTGCGGACAGAAGTGCATAGGGTTATGGAAGCAAAGTCAAAAGACCCTACCCAGCATTATCCTCAGTCACATCCTCTAGGGAGAGGAGGAAAGGGAAGGGGAAAGAAACAGAAAAAAAATATATAGGGAAAGGAAGAAAAATAAAAAATCCGAGCTCCGGCTGGCAAGATGGCCAAATAGGAAGAGCTCCAGTCTGCAGCTCCCAGTGAGATCTATGCAGAAGATGGGCGATTTCTGCATTTCAAACAGAGGTACCCGGTTCATCTCATAGGGACTGGTTGGACAGTGGGTGCAGCCCACAGAAGGCGAGCCAAAGCAGGGTGGGGAGTCGCCTCACCCGGGAAGTGCAAGGTGTTGGGGAACTCCCTCTCCTAGCCAAAGGAAGCCATTAGGGACTGCACTGTGACAAATGGTGCACTCTGGCCCAGATACTGCACTTTTCCCACGGTCTTCACAACCCACAGATTGGGAGATTCCCTCCAGTTCCTATGCCACCAAGGCCCTGGGTTTCAAGCACAAAACTGGGCAGCCATTTGGGCAGACACCAAACTCGCTGCAGGAATTTTTTTTTTTTTTCCCATAACTCAGTGGAACCTGGAACACCAGTGAGACAGAACTTTTCACTCCCCTGGAAAGGGAGCTGAAGCCAGGGTGTCAAGTGGTCTGGCTCAGTGGGTCTCACCCCCACAGAGCCCAGCAAGCTAAGATCCACTGGCTTGAAATTCTCGCTGCCAGCACAGCAGTCTGAGCTCTACCTGGGACGCTCAAGCTTGGTCGCGGGAGGTTCATCCGCCATTGCTGAGGCTTGAGTAGGCGGTTTTACGCTCACAGTGTAAACAAAGCCGCTCTGAAGATTGAACCGGGTGGAGCCCATCACAGCTCAGTAAGGCCACTGTGGACAGACTGCCTCCTTTCTGGGCAGGGCATCTCTGGGAAAAAAAAAAAAAAAGCAGCAGCCCCAGCCAGGGGCTTATAGATAAAAAACCCCGTCTCCCTGAGATAGAGCACCTGGAAGGAGGGGTGGCTGTGGGCGCAGCATCAGCAGACTTAAACATCCCTGCTTGATGGCTCTGAAGAGAGCAGCGGACCTCCCAGCACAGCCTTGAACTTCACGCTCTGCTAAGGATCAGACTGCCTTCTCAAGTGGGTCCCTGACCTCTATGTCTCCTGATTGGGAGACACCTCCCAGTAGGGGCCAACAGATACCTCATACAAAAGAGCTCTGGCTGGCATCTGGCAGGTGCCTTTCTGTGACAAAGCTTCCAGAGGAAGGAACAGGCAGCAATCTTTGCTGTTCTGCAGCCTCCGCTGGTGATACCCAGGCAAAGAGGGTCCTGCAGCAAACTCCAGCAGACCTGCAGCAGAGAGGCCTGATTGTTAGAAGGAAAACTAACAGACCGAAAAAAATAGAATCAACATCAACAAAAGGATGTCCACTCAGAGACCTCATCCGAAGGTCCCAACATCAAAGACCAAAGGTAAATAAATCCACGAAGATGGGGAGAAACTAGCACAAAAAGGCTGAAAATTCCAAAAACCAGAAGGCCTGTTCTCCTCCAAAGGATCACAACTCCTCACCAGCAAGGGAACAAAACTCAATGGAGAATGAGTTTGATGAATTGAGAGAAGTAGGCTTCAGAAGGTGGGTAGTAACAAACTCCTCTGAGATAAAGGATCATGTTCCAACACAATGCAAGGAAGCTAAGAACCTTGAAAAAAGGCTAGATGAATTGCTAACTAGAATAATCAGTTTGAGAAGAACATAAATGACCTGATGGAGCTGAAAAACACAGCACGAGAACTTCGTGAAGCATACACAAGTATCAGTAGCTGAATCGATCAAGTGGAAGAAAGGATATCAGAGATTGAAGATCAACTCAATGAGATAAAGGCAGAAGACAAGATTAGAGAAAAATGAATGAAAAGGAATGGACAAAGCATCCAAGAAATATGGGACTATGTGAAAAGACCAAATCTATGTTTGATTGGTTTACCTGAGAGTGACACAAAGAATGGAACCAAGTTGGAAAACACTCTTCAGGATATTATCCAGGAGAACTTCTCTAACGTAGCAAGACAGGCCAACATTCAAATTCAGGAAATACAGAGAACACCACAAAGATACTCTTTGAGAAGAGCAACCCCAAGACACAGAATTGTCAGATTCACCAAGGTTGAAATGAAGGAAAAAATGTTAAGGGCAGACAGAGAGAAATGTCAGGTTACCTACAAAGGGAAACCCATCAGACTAACAGTGGATCTCTTGGCAGAAACTCTACAAGCCAGAAGAGAGTGAGGGCCAATATTCAACATTCTTAAAGAAAAGAATTTTCAGCCCAGAATTTCATATGCAGCCAAACTAAGCTTCATACATCAAGGAGAAGTAAAATCCTTTACAGAGAAGCAAATGCTGAGAGATTTTGTCAGCACCAGGCCTGCCTTATAAGAGCTTCAGAAGGAAGCACTAAACATAGAAAGGAACAACCAGTACCAGCCACTGCAAAAACATACCAAATTGTAAAGACCACCAACACTATGAAGAAACTGCATCAACTAGCAGGCAAAATAACCAGCTAACATCATAATGACTTGATCAAATTCATACATAACAATATTAACCTTAAATGTAAATGAGCTAAATACCTCAATTAAAAGACACAGACTGACAAATTGGATAGAGTCAAGACCCAGTGGTATGCTGTATTCAGGAGACCCATCTCACTTGCAAAGACACACATAGGCTCAAAATAAAGGGATGGAGGAAGCTACCCAGAAAAAAGGAAAGCAAAAAAGAAGCAGGGATTGCAATCCTAGTCTCTGATAAAACAGACTGTAAACCAACAAAGGTCAAAAGAACCAAAGATGGGCATTACATAATGGTAAAAAGATCAATGCAACAAGAAGAGCTAACTATCCTAAATATACATACACCAATACAGGAGCACCCAGATTCATAAAGCAAGTTCTCAGACACCTACAAAGAGACTTAGACACCCACACAATAATAGTGGGAGACTTTAACACCCTACTGTGGATATTAAACAGATCAACAAGACAGAAAATTAACAAGGATATTCAGGACTTGAACTCAGCTCTGGACCAAATAGACATCTACAGAACTGTCTACCCCAAATCAACAGAATATATATTCTTCTCAGCACCACATTGCACTTATTCTAAAATTGACCACATAATTGGAAGTAAAACACTCCTCAGCAAATGCAAAAGAATAGAAATCATAACAAACAGTCTCTCAGACCACAGGACAATCAAATTAGAACTCAGGATTAAGAAACTCACTCAAAACCACACTACTACATGGAAACTGAACAATCTCCTCCTAAATGACTACTGGGTAAATAGGTTCATTTGGTCTATAGTGCAGATTAAGTCTGATTTTTTTTTGTTGATTTCTGTCTGGAAGATCTGTCCAATGCTAAAAGTAGGGTGTTGAAGTCTCCGGCTATTACTACACTGGGGCATATCTCTCTCTTTAGCTCTAATAATATTTGCTTTATATATCTGGGTGCTCCAGTGTTGGGTGCATACATATTTAAAATTGTTACATCCTCTTGCTGAATCGAGCCCTCCGTTATTATATAGTGTCCTTCTTTGTCCCTTCTTATAGTTTTTGTCTTAAAATCTATTTTGTCTGATATAAGTATAGTGAATTCTTCTCTTTTTTTGGCTTCCATTGGCATAGAATATCTTTTTCCATCCCCTTATTTTCAGTCTATGTGTGTCTTTATAGGTGAAGTGTGTTTCTTGTAGGCAACAGATGAGTGGGTCTTGTTTTTTCAAGATAACCTGACTTCAAGTTTATTAGCTCTTTATTCTGCTTGCTCAATTCTGCTATTAAAAGACCCTGATGCATTCTTCAGTATGTCAATTGCATTTCTCAGCTCCAGAATTTCTGCTTGATTCTTTTTAGTTATTTCAATCTCTTTGTTAAATTTATCTGATAGAATTCTGAATTCTTTCTCTGTGTTATCTTGAATTTCTTTGAGTTTTCTCAACACAGCTATCTTGATTTCTGTGTTTGAAAGTTTACGTATCTCTGTTTCTCCAGAATTGGCCCTGGGTGCCTTATTTAGTTTGTTTGGTGAGGTCATGTTTTCCTGGATGGTGTTGATGCTAGTGGATGTTCTTCATTGTCTGGGCATTGAAGAGTTAGGCATTTATTGTCGTCTTCAATGTCTGGGTTTGCTTGTAGCTGTCCTTTTTGGGAAGGCTTTCCAGATGCCTGAAAGGACTTGAGTCTTGTGATCCAAACTGTATCTACTTTAGAGGGGCATCTCAAACCCAGTAACATCATGGTTCTTGCAGACTTGTACAAGTACCACCTTGATGGTCTTGGACAAGATCCAGGAGAATTCTCTAGATTACCAGGCAGAAATTCTTATTCTCTTTTCTTACTTTCTCCCAAATGTACAGAATTTCTCTCTCTCTGTTCTGTGCCACCTAAAGCTGGGGGCGGAGTGGCACAAGCACCCCTTTGGCCACCACCACTATGACTGTTCTGGGTTAGACCTGAAGCCAGCCCAGTGCTTACTGGGTCTCACCCAAGGTCTGCTGTAACCACTCCCTGGCTACTGCCTACATTACCTCAAGGCCTTGGGACTCTACAATCAGTAAATGCCAAAGCCAATCAGGCCTATGCCCTTCCCTTCAGGGCAGCAAGCTCCCCTAAGCCCCAGAAGTGGGTCCAGAATGCCATCTGGGAGTCAGGGACTAGAGTAAAAACCCTTAGATGTCTACCTGGTGCTCTCTTGTATTGCAGCTGAACTGGCACTCTAACCACTAGATGCAGTCCTTCCCACTCTTGCCTCCCCTTTCCAAAGGCAGAGGAGCCTCACCCCATAGCCACCACCACCCAGGCCACAAGGAGTACTGCCAGACTACCACCAAAGTTCCCTTAAAGCCCAAGATCTCTTAAGTCAGCTTGTCATAAATGCTACCTGTCCTGGGACTCCCATGTTAGGGCAGTGGGTGCTCCTCTGGCCCAGGGCAGGTCCAGAAATGCTGTCCAAGAGTCAAGTCCTAGAATTGGGGACCCCGAGAGCCTGACTGGTTCTTTATCCTTCTGTGGCCATGCTGGTACCTAAGGTGCAAAACAAAGTTCCCTTTACTTTTTCCTCTGCTTTTCTCAAGCAGAAGTTTTGCCCCAGAGCCACCGCAGCTAGTAATATCCTGAGTCTCACCTGAAGCCAGCAAGCCTCAAAGGCTCACCCAAGGCCCTTGGTGTAGTACTTGGGTATTGCTGCTGGTTATTCAGGGCCCAAGGGCTCTTCAGTTAGCAGGCGATAAATGCTGCCAGGACTGGGTCCTTTCTTTCAAGGCAGCAGGTTCCCTTCTGGCCCAGGGTGTGTGTAGAAATGTCATCTGGAAGCTAGGGCCTGCAGTGGGGACCTCGTGACTCTGACTGTTGCCCTGTTTTGTTGTAGCTGAGCTGGTATCCTAGGTGCATCACAAAGTCTTTCCCACTCTCCCTTTTCCTACCTTCAACTGGAAGAAAGAGAGGTCTTTCCGAGCCATAAGTTGTGCAGCCTGGGTTTATGGGAGGGTTGAAGCCAGCACTCCCTTAGCTGCCCCAGCTAGTGTTTCTGTACGCCACATGCAGTCCCAGTTCACTGTCTCTGGGCCTAGTTCAGCACCAGGACTCACCTAAGAGTTTCAGTCTTTATGGCCCAGACTGCCTTTCAAGTTTACTTGGAGATACAGAGTGTTATAGCCCTCGGTGGTGAAGTTTGCAGGCACTCAAGTTCTAACTGTTGGAATCAGTGATTCTCCTCTGGCTAGGCCTGGTTTAAATGCTCCCTCTGTGGGTGGGTGTCAGCTGAGTTTGGTCTGGTTTTCCTTTCTGCTCTAACAAGACAGCACTGAGTTCAATGCCTCACAATTGCTGTATTCTTCCTTCCCCAGCACCTAGAGACGCTCTCTGCACCACGCCATGATTGCTGAAGGGTGCAGGAGGGGTGGCATACTTGATTTAGGACTGTTTTTTTTCTATCTCTTCAGTGCTTGTTTCAGCCATATGAAGTTAAAACCAGGTACTATGAGGGCTCACCGGATTTTTGGTTCGTATGAAGGTATTTTTTCTGTGTAGATAGTTGTTAACCTGGTGTCCTTGTGGTGGCAGGGCAGACTATCAATGGAGCCTTCTATTCCGCTATCTTGCTTTGCCTCCTCCCCTCTGGAAAACTAATTTTTAAAAAATCAATTCTCGGCCGGGCACAGTGGCTCATGCCTGTAATCCCAACACTTTGGGAGGCCGAGGTGGGTGGATCACAAGGTCAGGAGTTGAAGACCAGCCTGGCCAATATGGTGAAACCTTGTCTATACTAAAAATACAAAAATTAGCTGGGCATGGTGGTGGGTACCTGTAGTCCCAGCTACTCGGGAGGCTGAGGCAGGAGAATCACTTGAACCCAGGAGGTGGAGGTTGCAGTGAGCCAAGATCGTGCCACTGCACTCCAGCCTGGGCGACAGAGCGAGACTCCACCTCAAAAAAAAAAAAAAATTCAAGTCTCCACTAATTGATGCATATTCTTAAAAAATTACTTAGAATCAAAATCTCAACAGGGTTTTTCATTATTGTAGTTGTTTACTCACTTGTTTTAGTGGAATGCAACAAGCTGGTTTAAAAATTTAAATGGAAGCACAAACAACCAAGAATAATTGTGTGTTCTTGACAAAAACTAAGGTAGAATAATTAGCAAGATTTATTATGAAGATATTACAATAGTATAGCATTGGCATAGAGATGAAGAAAAAAAATAGAAAAGAATAGAGAGCCTGCAAAGAGATCCACACAGATCCAGACTTTTGGCCCCGTAGATGAGGCAGAAAGAGTGAACCTTTCAATGAACAGTGCTATAATTAGGAATCCATATTTTAAAAAACTACAGTTGTATTCCTAGTTCACTATGCCCAAAACTCATTTAAACTTAAAAATTTATACAACTCTTTGAAGATAATATAGAAAAATCTCTTTGTGGAATTTGGGTAAACAATTTTTTTTACTCATGGTACAAATAGTATTAATCATAAAAAAGATTAATAACTTTGACTACTTTAAAATTAAGAAGTTGTGTTTATTAAAATACACCACAAGAAGAGTGAAAATTGGCCCAGAGTGGGAAAAGCTGTTGGCCACACATGTAACTGACCAAGTTTATATATCTAAAACATTGTGACATACAGAAAATCCGATAGAAAAATACACAAGAAAATGGAATGAGCACTTCAAAATAAAAGCAAAAATCAAATGTTTAGTTAATATATGCAAAGCTGCTTAACATCATTAGTAATGAGGAAAATGCAAATTAAAACCACAATAATATATTACTATGCACTCATCACTTTGGAAAAAAAAGTATTTCATAATATCAAGTGTTCCTAAGGATCTAGAGCAATGGAAACTCATATACTCTAAGTGATATGATTTATCTTTGACTTGTCTTTATCTACAGCTTGGTTTTATCTAAGAAGGTTGAAGCTATGCATATTCTACGATACAGCAATTCCTTTCCTAGGGTATGCCAGAGAAACTCTCGCACAGATATACATGTAAAGGATGTTTGTAGTATCAGATAGGCCCCAAATAAAAACAATCAAAAACCAATCAGCAGCAAAATAGATTAACTGATTGTATTATAGTTATATAACTGAGTATTAGGCAGAAAGAAAAATGAAGTAGAGCTACACAAATCAACACAGACGATGTCACAGTATTGCACTAAAGAAGCAAGTCATAAAAGATTACATATAATATAACTTTCTTGTATTCTTATACAGTTTAAAACAAGTTAAAACTAAACTATGTAGTTTAAGTTTGTGCACATAGGTAGTAAAACTAAAGGAGCAAAAGGAATGATCACAGAAGTCAGATTAGTGTTCCATCTGGTGGTAGGAGAGGGACAATGAACTTGGAGGAACATATGGAGGACTTCAATTATTGGCAACATTCTATTTCTTAATCTGTTGCTGATCTGATTGTTCCCTTTCTAATTATTATTTAAATTGTACATATGCTTTTAGATACATTTTTTATGAGCACAGTGTATTTCATTAAAAAAAGAATATTGTTGGGTTGCATCTTCTGACACTAAAAGTAAATTGGTTTGGGAAATTTTTATGGATAACACAAGTAGAGAGCATATTGACCAGTCAATTGCTTCATGGGAAGGGTAACATAAATATCTCTTTTAAATTAAAACCACGGCAAGAGACTGTGTTTGCCACAATGGGAACAATTTCACTGTTTCAACTGGTGATCAGGAGCTGAAAGGTTTTCTAAATGGCCACAAGGGAGAGACAAAGAACAAAGATTCTATGCAGAGGACACAGAACTTAAAATGTCGAGGGTTCATTCAAGATAGGAGTGACTTTAATTCCCTTTAGCAGTGCGTGTTATTCCATTTTAACAATATTTGTGAGCAGTAGGAGCTTTGACGGTCCCATTTAGTGTGACCAACCACTAAGGCTTTAATTTTTTCTGAAACTGTTTCGAAATACTAAGTTTTCAAATAAGTCAGGGACTTTAAGGCATTCAGGGGAGGAAATACAAGCAGGGTCATTTTAAATAAAGGTAGGGTCATCTTTAAGGCTGGTCGCTGTTGCTCATGCCGGCAATCCCAGCACTCTGGGAGGCCGAGGCTAGGTGGATCATGTGAGGCAGGAGTTCGAGACCAACATGGCCAAACCCTGTATCTACTAAAAATACAAAAATTAGCTGGGCATGGTGGCAAACACTTGTTGACCCAGCTATTTGGGAGGCTCAGGCAGGAGAATCACTTGAATGCAGAAGGCAGAGATTGCAGTGAGTTGAGATTTCATGACTGCACTCCAGCCTGGGCAACAGAGCGAGACTCCATCTCAAAAACAAACAAAACCACCACCACCAACAACAACAATAAAAACCCACTTCTTTAAAACTTAAAAGTGACCATTATTATTTCCCTAAAGTATTCTAGGGTGATTTCTGCCTCTTGAAATGTCTCCAGTTTGTTGGGAATTTAGATTTTACAGCTATTGGAGCTAATAACCTATGGGAACGTATGTGGTCCCTTATCCAATGCTTTTAGACATAATGAGAGGAGTTGGGGCATCCTTAAAAAGGATAAAAACCTTGAGTGTAAGACCTGCTTCCTCTAAGACTCCATCAAGCTCTTATTTTGAATCGCAGAATCTTTAAAACCCTCCAGTCTAGGTTGGACACGGTCTTGGTATTGGAAAAAAAATCAATTGTATATCCTGAGCGAAGTGTTCCTTGGATGAATGACCTTTACTGTAAAGTAACTGCTTTTTGTGTAACTAGGAATAACCTGATTGGTTTTGGCAGTTGGACTCTGCTTGCTCTGTGATTCAGTATTCAGACACATAGTCTAATGCAGGCAGAGTTACAGGCGATGGCAGATCCAGTAACTCCATAGGACAGTATGCTGGCTGAGAGTGTGGGCTCCAACTTCTAGGGTTGGAAATGTGGCTTCACAGCTTACTAGTTCTCAGCAAAATGAAGAGTGTAATTGTACTTACTCTGTAGGAATGTTGTGAGCATAAATAAATATAAAAGCACTTAAAACAGTTTCTGAAAAGAAGCGGTTTATTGATGATTCACCTAACTTACACTGATATCCTTGGGAGTAAATGTGGTCTGGAAAATAGATTTTTAGGGTCATTGCTTGAATGGGATTATGAAATTATATAAATGCACAATATATTTTTTGTTATAACTCCCGTCTGCTACAATAATTCACGGAATCTTCCCATATGTAACTTTACTAATTCAAACCTGAATGGTCCTCATTTTAACTACCTGTTCAAATGATTTGTTATTTAAGACAAAAACTATGTGGCTGGGAGTAGACTGCATGATCCTATTAAAAGAAGTATCATTTGTGAGGGTGAATCAGTCTCATGCATTGAATATGTATTTATCTAAGTGAAGCACACAGCTGCTTAGGTTCCAGTCTGCAGACCCAGGAAAGCATTGTTCCAACTGAGTGCCTTACCTAAGTGCTGAGAATTTTTTTTTCATCATTGTGAGTGTCCTTGCATGGCTTGGTTCTCCACAGTGGGGCCAATTACACTGGACTTTAATTTCCAAATCTCCACCTAAGTTTTTCTTTTTTAGCAACAGAGAGTGATATGGCCAGGCTTTGTGTCCCCACCCAAATATCACCTTGAATTGTAATACCTAGGTGTTGAGGGAGAGAGCTGGTTGGAGGTGATTGGATCATGGGGGCCAGTTCCCCCCCATGCTGTTCTCGTGATAGTGAGTGAGTTCTGAAGAGATCCGATGTTTTATTAAGTGTTTGGTAGTTTCTCTCTTGCTCTCTCATCACTCACCTGCCACCATGTAAGACATGCTTGCTTTCCTTTTCGCGATGATTGTAAGTTTCCTGAGACTGCCCCAGGCTTGCAAAATTGTGAGCCAACTAAACGTCTTTCCTTTATAAATTACTCAGTCTTGGGTATTTCTTCATAGCAATGTGAAAATGAACTAATACAGACAGTTAGTTGTTTTAGGGCTATTAAGGGCCTAGGAATAAAAAGCAGTGGCTTTGTTGTTGTTAATTCTCCCCTTCCATCTGTACTGCACAATAAAGATGATTGGGTTTTTTTCAGATTATTCTTGATGAAAAGGACAATACATTCAAGAACATTTTATAAATTTGTTGGTAGCCTAGGAAAAAGAAACAAAGGGATCTTTCTTATTGAATTTTAAAACAGAAATGGCTTATCAAACTGCTCCATTGGGCTGCCTTTGGGTTTATCCTCTTGATATGAGGTAATATGATATTTGAAGTGGTGTCTGGGAAGCTGTTCCTCAGGTAAGCTCTTGGTTACTCCTCAGGGTGAGGACTTTTTCTCTCCATCTGTTACTCAACTTCTTTGTTCTCTAGATCTCCAGCTTGAGAGATAGTTTACAATTTCTATCTTAATTTTTTCTCAACACCATTTTTCCCAACCTATGCTTAACATTGCAAAATGATGCTCTCTCCCTTTATCATCTTGAAGAGTTTATAGAGATGATGGTTATATTTTTTTATGAAAAAAGTTTCTCATGGCTTTCCCAAATGAAAAGTGAATCAGTACAAAGAGTTGTGTGTAGAAAATGTAGGAACTTCTGCAAGCTGAGTACGGGACCAAACTGTCCTCCTACCAGAACTGGGAAGTGCACCAATCTTGCACAAGAAGGCTTTTCAAAATGGAAGCCAGGCATGGTACTAAAGACCTTGCAGCAGGAACAAGTTCATGAAAATAATATCCTGAGAAACGCAATCATGCCATGCCTATAAGGAGATAGCATTGACTGAAAAGTAGCTCTCCTTCTTTGGAAACCTTGACCACATTTAACGTCTTGGCTGACCTGCTGTTCATGTGCTAGCTACGTGCTGCTGAGGCCATATTAGCGGGGGGCACTTTTGATCTTAGATGAATCAGTGTATCAGAGATGTACCTGAGCAATACTCAGAAAGGTCTGGTTTCTATTTCAAAGTTTCTGGTGAAGACAGCCTAGGGGCCTGAAGAAATAACTTATCATAGGAAACTAGGTTAGATTCAAAAGTGGAACAACAATTTGAAGTAGGCTAATAGCATCTTTTTGTTTTCTTCTACAGAAATGGAGACTAACAGATAGATGTACCGGTATGAAGGTGCCATGTATAGGCATCTCAGCTGCCTTGTTTTGGAGCTGGGAGGCCATATAAAATAATTTGAATTTTTTTTAGGGGGGTCTTAATTTGTCATTACTGTTATTGTGGGATATATCCCTGTTCCAGAACCTAATAACATGGCAGAACAGGAAAAATGTTAATTCAAAATGAAAGTATCTACACTGTAGTTAACTTTGGCTGGAAATGTTAGCAGAGGAGAGGAATTGACATCGAAATGTAGTAGAAATAGGGCCCAGGAAATGTCAGATAAATACTTTTTTCACCAAAATACAGAAACTCCTGAAAATAGCTTATACTATTCACTGACCAAGTCCCAAGGAAAAGGAGAAATAAGAATTAATGGAAAATTCACTCTCACAGTGCAGCCTGTTTTCAGAAGCTAAAAATAGGAGAATGGTTCTAATCACACTAAAGCTTCTTTCTGGAATAGTGAAACCATTTTCTTGAATAGGGATAAATAACAGAGGTCTTTTCTTCTTCTTCTTCTTTCTTTTTCTTTTCTTTTTTTTTTTTTTGAGACAGAGTCTCACTCTTTTGCCCAGGTTGGAGTGCAGTGGCACGATCTCAGCTCAGGGCAACCTCCGCCTCCCGGATTCAAGTGATTCTCCTGCCTCAGATTCCCAAGTAGCTGGAATTACAGGCATGTGCCACCACACCCAGTTAATTTTTGTATTTTCAGTAGAGACAGGGTTTTGTCATGTTGGCCAGGCTGGTGTGGAACGCCAGACCTCAGGTGATCCGCCTAAAGACAGCAAACATATACAATAGTTGGAAATCCTCATCTAGTCTTCTCCCATTATCATACACTCTTGTTAGTAATGTGTTAATACAATAGACCCCTACACCAAAACTGATATGTGACAGGCCCTGCCCTTGGGGCTGTAGATACAGCTGTGAATAGGGTAGGTCTAGTCCCTGCCCCTATGAAGCTTCCATGTAGTGGGAAAGAGAGATTTTAAACAAATAATTACAAATGTGATGACTGATATATAAAGGAAGTTACAGGTTTTATCGGAACATGAGGCTTAGAGACACGGCTCGAGGAAATGACCTCTGGGTTAAGAGCTGAAGAAAAAAAGAAAACCTTAAAAATACTGATACCCCAATCCAAAGTAATATAGAGAAGTGCCGTCCCTTCTCCAAGGCCACCACTAGCTCATAAAATGCCTCTGTGTGAATTAGAGAATGTCGCTCTTGCTATCCTGGCTGGCTCAGTGGTGGCACCCCAGTGGCCCACCTTTGTGTGTGACCCAAATGGCACGTCCACAAAGTGTGTCCCTTCTCCACAGGGCAGGTTTTGTTTTATTAAAAATACAACACTAAACACTATTTTACCAAATTTAGCAAATGGAGAAAATATACATTGAAATTATTCACATTTGAAAAAGATTGCAGACCATTCAAGTTTAATTAAGTCCTGGTTAAAGATACTTAAAGATTTAACAGGAAAAAACAAAAAGTGAAAATGTTTTAATTTCTTATGATAAATATAAATGATAAATGAGTCCTCACTCTGAAAATATAACTCTAAAAAAGGACATTTTTCTAGTTGACTTTTGTTGTTGTTCTACCCAAAAGGAAGCCCAAACATCAGAAACTTCTCTATTCTATTGTGAAGTGGAGGGAAGGACAGGTGGAAGAAAGGAATGACCCAGGAGCACAGAACAATCTGTAGAAATGAGAAGGAGGGCCGCATTCACGCTGAAATGTGTGCATCACAGCTGGAATAAAGAAAGCAAGGGATAGAGGTGGGAGGCAAATCTGGAAACACTCGCAGAGACCAAATCATGGAAGACTATGTTGGCATGCAAGCTGTGTTGTAAATTTTAATACAGTTTATATCTATCTTGTTTAAAAGGTGTCATGCTTGCATAGGGTAGAAAACATATGTGGTAGAAATACAATATTAAATTACTAACAAAGAGCTTATAAGAAAAACAACAGGAATCTGCCCAAACCCTACTCTGTCTTTATCTCCCCTGTTTCTCTACTCTTTCAATCCTACTCTCCCTAAGAAATTGTTTCAAAACTTAAAAAAAACAAGTCTTCTACTTCTCTTTTTTTCTTTTCTTTTTTCTTTTTTTTGGACGGAGTCTCACTCTATTGTCCAGGCTACAGTGCAGTGGCGCGATCTCAGCTCACTGCAACCTCCAGCGATTCTCCTGCCTCAGCCTCCTGAGTAGCTGGGACTACAGGCATGAGCCACTGCACCCAGCTAATTCTGCATTTTTTTTAGTAGAGATGTGGTTTCACCATATTGGCCAGGCTGGTCTCGAACTCCTGACCTCGTGATCCACCCGCCTCGGCCTGCCAAAGTGTTGGGATTACAGGCGTGAACCACTGCACCTGGCAAAAGTCTTTTACTTCTATAGGTATAAATAGTAGACTTACACCATTACAATTTTACTACAAAATTTCTAAACATAGGCAAAAGTTGAATAAGGATCCTTCAAGAGCCCCTTCACTTAGCTTCAATAACAAACAACATTTGGCACTGTCATTACCAATTCTCCAGTACCAAAGAAAATGTATGCTTCCCAGTACAGCCAGTAAAAGTCTGTCGTATGCACTTCATCACCCTGGCAAGGGCCACCTTCCCATCACTTGAACCAATCCTTGTTGGAAGGTATGGACAATTAGATGAGCATGGATTCTGTGCCCACTCCTGCCAACAGTGTGGGCCAACCCCTTCCAAACCAAGTGGACTCTGTGTTGATGTTGGTGTACCAAAGGAAACCAAAGGAAAACTGATGGGGCTTTTAGCAAAGCAATTGAGTGGCTCATGGGAGGGAAAAGCAAACCAAACCCATGTCCTGTACAGTAGTGATTGGACAAAAATATACAGTCCAAGGGAAATTATAAGCACTAGTTCCAAAGTGAGACAAGCTACATTCAGTATCTATCCTACTGTTCACAGGACATGTTTTTTTCTTTGGGTTGGTTCCAAGACCATCCAATAATTTTCTTCTAATAATTTTTCTAGACTTAGAACTGTGAAATTATGGAAGTAAATGTCTCAGAAATCATGGATCATCCCTATCACTGGCAGCAAATTAGTTTCTGTGAATAGACAAAAGAATCTGAGAATACTGCAGTTACAATTAACTATCAACTTAAAAACAAGAGGCAAAGTCACAGTCTCTCTGTATGAGAGACAAGGAGCTACAGGCTCCAACTTCTACCAGGAAGTGTGTGTGTGTGTAAGAAGCCAGACATTGTCTCTGTTTCTAGGGCAATCTATTAAACCCAGCAGTATCCATCATTTTACCCTAACATCACTGTTGAGAACACCAGTTCTGCAACCTACAGAATGGGAGAAAATTTTTGCAAGCTACCCATCTGACAAGTTCTGATATCCAGAATCTGCAAGGGACTTAAACAAATTTACAACAACAACAAAAACACATCAAAAAGTGGGCAAAGGATATGAACAGACACTTCTCAAAAGAAGACATTTATGTGGCCAATAAACATGAAAAAAAGCTCATCATTACTGGTCATTAGGGAAATGTAAATCAAAACCACAATGGGGTACCATCTCATGCCAGTTAGAATGGCGATCATTAAAAAGTCAGGAAACAACAGATGTTGGTGAGGCTGTGGAGAAACAGGAATGCTTTTACACTGTTGTTGGGAGTGTAAATTAGTTCAACCATTGTGGAAGACAATGTGATGATTCCTCAAAGATCTAGAACCAGAAATACCATTTGACCCAGCAATCCCATTACTGGATATACACCCAAAGGACTATAAACCATTCTACTATAAAGACACATGCACACATACTTTTATTGCAGCATTATTTACAATAGCAAAGACTTGGAACCAACCCAAATGCCCACCAATGATAGACTGGATAAAGAAAATATGGCATATATACCATTGAATACCATGCAGCCATGAAAAAGAATGAGTTCATGTCCTTTGCAGGGACATGGATGAAGCTGGAAGCCATAATTCTCAGCAAACTAACACAGGAACAGAAAACCAAACAACACATGTTCTCACTCATAAGTGGGAGATGAAAAATGAGAACAAATGGACACAGGGAGGGAAACATCACACTGGGGCCTGTCGGGAGGTTGGGGGCAATGGGAGGGAGAGCATTAGGACAAATATCTAATGCATGCAGAGCTTAAAATCTAGATGATGGATTGATAGGTGCAGCAAACCACCATGGCACATGTATACCTATGTAACAAACCTGCACGTTCTGCACATGTATCCCAGAACTTAAATGAAAAAAAAAAAAGAACATCAGTTCTGGAGTTGAATTTCCTGAGTTCAAATTCCTTCTCTACCCAAGGCTGGATGACCCAAAGGCAGACAAATCACATTCTGAGGCAGGCAGAAAATCAGATACCAACACCTTTTTGGAAGTTAAACTTGTTATTGAATGAAAATTCAGTAGTAAACATTGGAAAAATCCAGACCTGGTTGAACATATTTTCATCTATTTTCTAGGTGACATTTTGTTTAAATTGTAAACCATTCATGAAGAATAAGTTCCACAATGTTTTCATTGCTATGGGCTTCAATTAAACCCTGGTTCTTCCTTTTATTCACTTTGTGACTTCAAAAAACTTATTTTATGTCCCTTAGTGTCAGTTTCCTCATGTACGAAATGGGGATCATACTAGTACCTACCTCAGAGGTCTGCTGGGAAGATAACATTAAATCACTCACAGTAAATAGCTCACGCAATGCCTGGAACATACTAATCACTCATTATGTGTTAGGTGTCATTACTGTTCTTTCCTTTGACAAATACTTCATGAACACCTTTGATGTGTAGAGCCCCTGGCAAAGGGTACTAGAGAAATAAAAGGAAATTATCTAGAATTGGGAATTTGTTAAATATGCTGACGGGATTCAGCAAAAGACATGCCCTAAATTAGTTCTCCTAATGGGAAGCCACTCTACTCTCAACATAGCCTAAGGAATGATATTCAAAACAAACAACAATATGGTCTAAAAGTAAACTGGAGAAAGTAGCTAGGCATACACTCATTAATCCCAGAGACAAATCTCCAATGAGAACTCCCTCTAACCGAAGAGTCAAGATGGGCTAGAATGAGATTAAGAGAAAGCTCAGGGGATGCTGGGGTGTGGGTTGATTAAGTGAGGATTACATCCGCTGCACCCAGTAATCCTGTTCCAGAGTGAAGCCCACTGTGCCTGTGGACCCCCCACCACTTGACAGTGCCTTGATTCCATGGTGACCAGAGGAGTCAGATGCCTGTTTTGTGGTATGAACGAATGGGCATATAGACTTAGTAGCAGCTGTTAACATGACTTTGTCCTTTGGTTGAAGGGCAAAGGGCAAACCCTGGAAAATGAAGCTAATCCCAAAGACCCAACCTCACAGCTCTGTGACACTCAGTTTCAGCACATGCCACTTTTCTTTGGGTTAGGTTATACCCAAGAATCCTTCCAGAAGTGGGAGAAAAAATGTAGAAAGGGCTAAGATACTGCTGACAACTACCATTATTGATACCATGTCTGGGAAAACATTGACATTCTCTAAATATACAAGGACTGAATGCTAACCCCAAGGGGGTCAACACTGAAGTGAGATTCAGCACCCAGGATGTGCACGCTAGACTGGACACCGTTAACAGTCCACTATGGGACCAGGAGAAATCAAACAACAGCTTTGTGAGGAAAAGATTTGTATCCTCATGTCATGGATGTGAAGACAGAAACACAGAGAGGTGGAGTGATTTTCCATAGAACCAAAGCTGGTTTGGGGCTCTCTCCACTATTCCAGCGTGTCTCGCTTGCTATTTGAAAACTTGTTAAAGCATAATAAATTAGAAGCCTTATTCAGGGATGGCAGGGATGAGAAAGGGATATCAGGTTGTTATGGGAACCCGTGGTCTTTAGAGCTATTGGTCAAAAATAGAAGCCTCAGGATGGCAGGATGAAAGATCCTCTCTGGAAGACTAAGAGGTGAAGTGAGTCTCTTGGGGAAAGCAATAGCGTAGGCAGAAAAACAATAAAAAGAAGCACAAGGCACCTTTTACAGAAAGGGGTTCCATTTTTTCTTATGACCGTGGCCACCATCTAGTGGTCAGGCTTGGAAGCGGGATTCAGGCTCCAGATACTGAGCACACGGCCAAAGCCCCATGGTGGAGTTGATGGCGTGACCCTGCCTTTTCTCTCCCGCCTTGTGGGGCATCCTTTACTTCCTGGCACGGAGGTACACTTGCATGGGGTTTTCCTGCCACTCTGGTAGGGAGGCCAGGCTGTCAGCCACCTCCTTCTGGATAGGCCAGCCCCAGGCCTCAAAGAAGGGAACCAGATTCTTCTTCACTTTTTCAGAGAACTTCTTCACCCATAGATTCATCCTGCCAGTGTTGTCTTTGGGGAGGTGAGAGAGGGTCTGGTACTCAGCAAAGAGCTGGGTGAATGGCTCCCACCCGAAGGCCTCTTGGAGCTGAAAAGGGAAAGAAGGAACAGAATGAGGTGTCAAGTTTGCAAAAGTGACGTGACATGTGCGTTCTTAAATATATTTCATTCACATGATCACCTCCCCTCAATCGTTACCTTCATCCTGGGTATGTGCCCCTATCTCCCCACTCTGCCCCTGCACAATAATGCAATCTTGTTGGCTCATTCCTCCTCTTGGCCACAAAACAACACCCCCTGAATCTAGTGGGGGTGCTCAGGGGAAACCTAATGTCTGAATAGAGGTAAATACTCAATAAATGTCCACTATTAGTATCTTTAAACAATTGTCTTCCCAGATCTCAAGTGTTTTCCTCAGCATCAGGACAGGTTTGGGCCTGACTGAGATGAGAAACCCTCACTTCCTACATATCTGGCCTATTGAGATTCTAAAAGCTGCGAACCTCCAATACTATACTTTCCAGACATCATAATAATCCTTATTTTTTAATAGCCATCTTGGACCTGTGGCTATCTGCAATGATACAAAATTGCTCTGTAGAACACTGCATTTAGGGCAGAAAAAGAAAAAAATCCAGCCTGTCTCGAGGGGCTAAAAATGAGAGTGGCTCATACTTCATAAGGGGCAGCTAATGAGAGTGGCTCATACTTCATAAGGGGCAGCTCTCCGGAAAGCCCTTGGCAGAAGGCCCTTGTTTACTAAGATTATACAAATTTCCAGTTAGCGGGGATCTGGGGTTTCACATCCCCACTCTCCCTTTAATAGATGAGCATTCTCTGACTGTAGCTCATAAAAGCCCAAAGACAGATAACACCACCGAAGCCAAGCCTACCTCAGAGTCTCACTGTTGTATCCTTATTATTGCTCATCTGTTCTCACTGGCTTGCTCTTTGACACTTATTAATCAATGCATCAATAAATTAAGCATTTATTAAACGTTTAACATGTATTAGACACCCACACACCGCCAGCTACTGTGCTAGGCAAACATCATTAAGAGCTCTTGTCCTTCTAGAGAACACTGGCCAAAGGGAGAAACACACGTAAATAAACACATTGCTAAAACTGTTGGTTTATCAAGGAGGCGATGTCCAGGAGAGAAAGGGCCAACAGAGCTGAATTTGGACAGGTGACTTGACAGCTAATGGACAAGATGTTCCAGCATGATTCAGCAGCAGGAAGCAAACAAGGGGAGGCACAGAAGCCAAAACAGCAAGCTGTGTCCGTAACCATAAGCAGGTTGGCATGCCGAAGGGTAAATGTGGAGGTGAGAGCAGTAGGAGATGTAGCTAGAGGTGCTGGTGAGGCTGGTCATGAAGGGCCTCCTATGCCCTGCTAATGAGCTTTGACTTTACCCTATATGTGCTAGAGAACACTGTAAGCATTTGATAGACAGAGTATTAACATTATTTTGGAAGGAGTGTAAGGAAGATGGATCATAGAGGATTGAGGCAAGATGCTGGGACAACTTAGAAGGCTACTGGAATACACTGAGGGAAGACTAACGAGGCCTGAGCTAAGGCAGCAGTGGCACGGATGCTGGGGAGAAGCCCTCTAGCAGGAAGAGGAGTCAGAAGGTGCCTGTTTATCCTGAGGCCAAGTCTCAGACTTGGTCTCTCTAGAGCTATTGAGAACTGATATTCGGGGCTCCACAGTGAGTAGGTAGCAGACTAGGACAGAATTAGGGCTTAAACTTACAGTTTAGGGGCAACCTACCATTGTGGTCAGTGGTCCCGTATACCCCCAGACTGGCTATCTAAGGATATGGAAATGAATGCAATACAAAGTTACCTCATTGACTGGGACTGTCTCACATTCACTCTTCAGAAAATTAGTGAAAGGCACAAAAAACTAAGAGAGGGTATGGCAATGCGAAAGCCTGGGGCTTGTCATTACGTCCTGATTTTAAGTTCTAGGTCCTTCACTTAAATGGGGGCTACTGGAGAGATTGCTTAAATTCTTTAAAATAGTGTGTGCCTCTGTGAAAAGTGGGCCAGACAGCTCCTATCCATAGAGCTGTGGGAGACATTGCAGGAGATCTGAAAGGGGAACAACATTGACAACTCGAAAACATCGACATTCAATGCAGGGCTAGGGGAGGGGGCAGGGATTTGTGTTTATTTCACAGGAAGTAGACTTGCTTTATGAATTCAGTGTTCTACTATTGGGTTGACTGGCTCTTCATTTTAAATCATTTTGGCTTCAAGTGGGGTGATGGATGATGAGACCCTTGTTAGCAGATTTGTCTCCAACAATGCCTTCTTATTGTAATGCAGCTGCATTGCAGACACCCTCCGTTATTATAAAAAAGCATAACTCATTTGACTCATAAAACTCAGGTGAAATAAAACAAAACTAAACAAAGCAATGACCATTTATGGAACACTTATTAGGAGACCAAGAACAAAACCAATGAGGGCAAGAGCTGTGATTCAGCTGCAGGAATGTCTAACAGAGTTTCTGCCCTTGAATAATATGCTATATTTCTATTTTTTTCATAATATTTTTCATTTCCTCTTACATTGCAAAATCAGAAGGTGAGTGAGACAGGTGCCATTCTCTCTGCCTTAGAGGGGTATAACCCAAGAAGCACCACCCTGCGGCCCAGTCCCTCTCATTTCCAGGGGAGGTGGAGGTCCAGGCTGGTGGAGTGGCGAAGGAGGTGGAGGGCTACTGGGATCCAGGTCGCTACATGACTGAGGGGTCTGGTCATCCCCTTCTCCCAGAATTTCTGCTCAGTACCTGTAGATATGTTTCCAGGGCTGTCCATACATTCCAGTCACACAGGGGGGCTCCCTTTCCCAGGTGGGCCTTGATTCTCCTCTCTCGCTCTGGAGGGCTCAGAGCCTCGTGGGCCTGAGCCCTGGGGATCCCCAGGACTGTTTCATGCACGTAGACTGACCAAAGGTTACAGGTGGCCTCAGTAGTGTGTGGGGGGAACTCCCATCCATGCCGCTGTTGGTTGTGGCCCAGCTCATGGATGGGGCCCCACACACCCCTGCTCCTCATGTCCATCTCATTGATGATCTCCTTCACAGACTCCAGGTGGCACATGATGGGGTATCCTGAATGCATCCAGCCTGGGAACACAGAAGGAAGAGATGAGCATTGAGGAGGGTCCGCCCAAACTATCTCCTTCATTCTTCTCCATTATTGGACTTTTCTTCACCATCCTGGTTATCCCCAATAATTGCAGAATCTCTGTGCTGATTGGAAAGCAAATAGCTTTCCCCTACTTGGTCAGAAACTGAATAGTACCTAATCCCCTTCTTAGTCTCTCACACCTGAGTTGTGGCCTCCTCCTCAATCTGGCCCTGGAGAATTTGGTTATACTTTACATAGTCATTCTTGCTGTAATTCGACACCTTCATTTTGTGTGTGTGAGTGTCCTTTACATGTCAGTCTGAGATATGATGTCCTCTGACTGGATCTGAGATCCTTGAGGGCTAGAACAGTGTCATTCTTTCTTCCCCATGTATACTACTTTTGTCCAAATTTACACTCTATGACAGAGATAATTTTTGTCCTTATTTGAAGGTATGAAAATTGAGGTCCAAAGAACTTTCCCCATTTGGGATCCAGAGTTCCTTATTTCTCTTCCTATGTACCTCTTTCTTTTTAACCACTCAGTACTTACCATAAACCTCCTTACGTATTTCCTCTTTTCATTTTCAACTCTGGCTTATGTTTGAAGAAAATAGTTGATTTTCTATGTTGTCCTTGAAATGACTCTGGTTGCCATCTATGAATTCCCAATACAACGTTTTCTGAGATTGTTTTACCATCCAGTGAAATCTCACCTTGTAGATGTCAATAATTTGTTTTTCACATGTAAACATTCTTTCATCCCCATCATGGTCAATGTCTTTTATATCTTTTTCCCTTGCTTTACTAATAAAATTATGCTTACACATTTTGGACATTCATAAAAGGCAAAGTAATAGATACATGGTTTCCACTGACTAGGAGGATTCCCTGGGAGCACCCACCAGCTGAGATCTGCACATCAGCCACAATCCTCTCAGGACGGCGGAAAGGGAAGGGCTCAGCCGCCAGCCTGGCCACAGCCTGCATCATCTCATCCCAGAGGCGGAGCACAGGCTCGGGGTCCTTCAGGGCCTGAAGGTTTGTGGTTGGCACTGTCAGGATGATGTTGTCCGTGGCCAGCTCTCCCCAGGGAGCCAGGTTCTCCTGCATCTGCCTCTTCCACTCCTCCAGCGATGTCTTACCTGGGAATAAATATCATGGAACCTACCACACCCACTTCTCCAACTTCCCTTGAGCTGAAAAATACCATTTGAACTCTGGAAGAACATTGCAATAATGAACTACTATCACAGGCGTCTATAGGCTGTAAAGTGAAGAAAAGGCTTCCTGACTCTTCTCTTTGTCTGCCCTGAAGTCTCCATGGACACAGGGTATTCCGTATCTTCTGCCTCCATGTTCCCTCCCAACAGTTCTTCCTCTTTCTCTCCACCAAAGCTCATCCCTCTCCCATTTAGCAACCACCCCACAGTTCCCACGGCATCTGCCACTCTTCCTCCTCCCTAAATGTTCACTCCACTTACCCAGCTTGTAGTATGGGGCAGGCACAGCTCCCCTGATAGTGACAGGCACAGGGCCTAGTTGGCTGCCCTTGGGCACGATGACGTAGAGGAGGCCGCCCCAGAGGCAGGAGACTGACCGCTCAGTCCTGTCCATCCAGCATTGGTGAGTCACCACGGGGGCTCGAGATAGCTTCCTGGCCTTGGTAAGGTCATCGGTGTGGCAGCCTATCTGTACCTGGACAGGTGATTCCACCAAGCGTTGGAGAAATTAGAGTCTTTGTGATGCTTTGTGATGTGCGTGTGAGGTTGTGTAGATGGAAGGTATTAGACAAACATGCCCATGAAACCCCAGCTTCCCTTTTCTATGTGCTAGGCATGGAAACTTATGAAATTTTAGCACTCCAAAGTCATTTGGACTTCAAGGCATTTAAAATCATTTTTCTAAGGATTTAAACAGCTCCACTATAAGTCTTCACCTGACATGAATTGGTGAGAGACCAGGCTGATCCTGGCAAAGGTCTTGTGTCTTTCTGCCAGGCAAAATCCTGGGTTCTTCTAGCAGGACCTAAGCCAGTCTGGGGACGCTGATATTGAGGATGAGCTGGGGGACTCTGCTCTGTCCTCTGTGAACACACAGGAGGCCCATCCAGAGTGAGTGAGGTTGATTCTCTCTCCCTCTTTGCCCAGAGCTTCCCTTTCTGGCCGCCAGATGGGTGGAGATCTGTTTTGTCTGGAGTCCTGGAGTTGCTTTTCTTAGGTTTGATATAAGCAAGCTCCAGAAAGAATGCTGACAGAAAAGGGACCCTAGCTGTGGTAGGAAGTGGCCCTCAGAGTCAAGGAGGCAGGATGAATTTAAATTCTGCATGTAGGGCATATTTTGGGGAGTGATGGGATTATGCACACCCTTCAGGTGTCAAGATAAAGAGATAAAACCAGAGTTTGTGCAGAATGAGCTTGCTGACACACAGCCTAAATTTGTACCGCATGTTTCATACTAACTCCCTCTGAGTTTGCACATGGGACCCATGAGGAGGCATGAAGAGGTAACTGCCCATGCCCGAGGATTTTCCAGCCCTTCCTTTTCTTTCTGTCAATCACCTACTAATCACAGAATCCACTCCCTACACCTTTTCTACTAAAATAACTCTTTAAAATAAGTACAATGGGACAGATTTGAGCTGGGCTCCTGTCTCCTTGTTAATCAAATTGCAATAAAATGTTTTCTTTTGTTTTTGTTTTTGTTTTTTTTTTTTGGTGAAAAACTCAAGTGTCATAGTTTTGGCTTCTAGTCCATTCTGCAGTGAGCTTCTCTTGCTTGATAACACTAGGCACTTCAGTCACTCACTTAGATGCCCTGAAATTTAGCTGCTTCATCTGTAAAATCTGTAAAATGGGCAGAATAATCCATCTCTGTACTCCTGGCAGCATTGCCATGAGCTGGAACTAGACAGTGGATGAGAATGACACAGCTCTACGGTTTTGAGAGGTGGCAGATGTGGGTGTTCAGACCTTACCCTCAGGCCAGCAGAGGCAGCAGCTTCAGACAGTGAGACTTCTGCATTTTGTCCTTCCAGGAGGTAGAGCCCGGTACTCACCCAGCAATCATTGTTGCCTGACAAAAGTCACAGAGAAGGCTCAGTTCTTCCTTCCTATGTGAGTATATCTCCACTTGGGGCCTCCCAGCCCCTCCCAGTGGTACAGCTTCTCCCCTGTGTATCTCAAGTCATCCATACTTCTTAGGCTCATCCCCTCTAAACCTTAAGCAGTGTCCCAATCCCCATCTTCTTGAAAGTACCTGATGAAGAATGGAGTCAGCTGGGCCCAGTGGCTCACGACTGTAATCCCAGCACTTTGGGAGGCCGAGGCAGGTGGATCACCTGAGGTCAGGAGTTCCGGACCAGCCTTACCTTTACGGTGAAACTCCCTCTCTACTAAAAATACAAAAATTAGCCAGGCATGGTGGCGTGTGCCTGTAGTCCCAGCAACACAGGAGGCTGAGAGAGAAGAATTGCTTAAACCCAGGAGGTGGAGGTTGCATGAGCTGAGATCGCGCCACTGCATTCCAACCTGGATGACAGAGTGAGACTCTGTCTCAAAAAAAAAAAGAATGGGGTCAATCTTCCTGAGGGTAAGTACCTGCAATGTCCTGTGTAGTGTCAGCCAATCCCACTTTCCCCTACATCTTTAATGTTCTGGGCACTCTCTCCTGTTTTCATACCTGGGTTGATTCCATTGATCTCCACGGTGATGGGGTGTTTTGAGGGGTACAAACTGGAGGAGCAGGTCCAGGTGCCAAGCCCCTGGGCCAGCTGGGAGCAGTCAGTTCCAGAGTGAGCCAGCCCAGTGGCCAGGGAGAGCACCGCAGCCTCATAGGAGTCACTGGCAACTGGATTTTCCCGGCTCACAGCTGGGAGGCCAGACCCTCGTAGCATCTTCCTCAGGAGCCTGTGCAGGGATATGTAAGCAGGGACCCCCTCCGCAGGAATCTGTAGGAAGGCTGCACCATCAACTCTCAACTTTGCCAGACAGCTCTTTTCCAAGTTCCCATTCTCGTGGTTCAGTATAGCCTGGAATTGAGAGAGCGCCTTGCGGAAGTGGTAGCTTCTCATCTCAGGGGTGGGAACGGGGAAGCAGCCTGCTTTGAGAGTCTGAGGCAGGATGCTGAGGCCAAAGCAGTTGAGGATGATGTTACCAGGGAAGCCAGCCAAGGGGCAGTGGCCAGGGTTCTGGGAGGCCCACCACCAGGCCTGGCCCCCAATCAGCAGCCCCCCACCCTCAGCCACAAACTCCTGCAGCTGCTTAGCCTCCTTGTCACTGTACGCCTTGCAGCAGTAGACACACAAGTCGCTGTTCAGATGGGGCTCCAGGCTGCATTGCAGGCCATGCTCCGATAGGAGAGGACACAGATCTTTTAGATTTGTGTTCACCCCAACTTTGCCTGTCTGGCCTCTGGCCAGCCAGCGCACCGCATTGAGCAAGAAGGGCCCCATCTTGGGAGCACAGAGCAGGCACTCGTGGGCAGCCAGGACCACCCGGCCCCGGCCATAGTGAGCAGCCGCCAGGAAGCAGTTGAGTGAGGCATCCAGCCCCAGAGGGAAGGCCAGGGCTCCATGTACAAGCAGCTGTGAGGGGACTCCCCCTGTCCTGATGTCCAGCTCTGAGATCCCCTCCAGGAGCTGCTGCTGGTCCTGCCTGACATCCTCCCCATACCTGGAAGAGACAGGAGAAACAATGAGGCTACAGTCAGTTAATGAGCCACTGAATCGAACTCATTGAGTAGAGAAATCTATGTGCAGGTAAGAAGATTGCACGGTTCATGTCAATCTTCACATTCTTACTAATGTTAGGATTTTAGCATGCTAATATCATTTATTTTTATCATGTTTAAGGCATATTTTTTCACTGTTTTTACAACTGATGGCATATTATCATTTAATTGGCAACGTTTAGTCTTTCTTTCTTTCTTTTCTTTCTTTCTTTCTTTTTTTATTTGAGATGGAGTTTCGCTCTGTCGCCAGGCTAGAGTGCAGTGGCACAATCTCGGCTCACTGCAACCTCCACCTACCGGGTTCAAGCAATTCTACTGCCTCAGCCTCCCGAGAAGCTGGGACTACAGGTGCGTGCCACCACACCCAGCTAATTTTTGTATTTTTAGTAGAGACGGGGTTTCACCATGCTGGCCAGGATGGTCTGGATCTCTTGACCTTTTGATCCGCCAGCCTCAGCCTCCCAAAGTGCTGGGACTACAGGTGTAAGCCACCATGCCCGGCCTGGTCTTTCTTAGTGATACATAAAATAATGGCATTTCTCACAATCAATTTGTCATAGATTTGAGGAAACGCTATAGAGGTAGTGCCCTTACTTGCATATCTTAAAATCCACATTTTCTAAATGAACACCTCCAGGAATTCCTCCCATTTAGTCAACTATGTGTTGAATATTTTGGCTTCAGTTTCTTGACTTTTAAAATAATTAAACATATAAACAAGTTAGAAAAACTAGTTTATTATGCCCAGAGAATGTGGTACTGCTTATGAATTTCTCGATCTAACTTTCTGCAAAGGAAGGCTGTAAAAACACCAAATCTGGACTCTCCGTAGGGTAGTTCTGATCTAGGAACACATCACAATTAAATTGTTTAACACTACGCTTGAAGATTTATACAAACACACACTGTTTTTAAAACTTCACTTAGATCTGGTTAGAGTATTCACTTCTTCTTCTTAAGGAATGGTCAAAATGTAATGAATCAAGAAAAGGCTTTGTATTTCAAGAATTTTTTTAAAACAATTTGTATATACTGTAAATGTCAAGCAATAGGAGGTTGGTTAAATAAATTATGGTTAACAATAGATTGCAAACCATATAGTGATTAAAATAAATATTAGGTAATTTGAAAAATGCTTAATGGAAAAAGTTTTAAAATTAGATTCCAGGATACCATGCTCTAAATAAGCCAAATTTTGGGGTAAAAAAAATAAAAAACCAAGAAACCAGACATAGAAGCAGAACCTAAAGCATATTTATCAAAATATCTTTGTTTAAAAAAAATGTCTTCAGTGGTCGTCTTGGCTGGTGGGATTTTAGGTCATTTTAATTATCTTTATAAAACTTTATTCTCTCAAATTTTAAAATTAACATCTATTTCTCTTATAATTAAAAATTAAATGTTATATTTTTTAAAAAGTATAGTTTATTTATTCCAGTAGTAACACATTATTGAAAAATGTAACTCTTGTGCAGATTCTCTT
Organism: Homo sapiens; assembly: GCF_000001405.40. NCBI lineage: Eukaryota > Metazoa > Chordata > Mammalia > Primates > Hominidae > Homo > Homo sapiens. The sequence continues at coordinate 143,718,141 of NC_000007.14, read as the reverse complement.
TAATTTCTTTTCAGCATGAAAATGAGGAGATGGCATGTCTTAGTTTTGTCATCCCATTTTCAGACTCACATGGCAAATGTCATAGAGTTCAGGTATCAGTTCTGCCTGTGGCTTTTTGTTACCTGTTGGAACTCAAGATATTTTGGGGAGTTAATGACATTGAGCTACAAGACTTAATAATGAAAAATTCCACTCGAAGTGTTCTTAGCATCTTCTCACAGGCACCTGGCAAAGCCTCAGCTAATGGTAGTAAAACTTCAATATGGAAAGCTGCAGTTACTTGCAGATATCCTCTCCACAGCTAATTAAAATGACTGCATATATTCATCCACATGCCCACACACACAAACTACAGTAGCATTGGGAATCTAGGAAGTGACTAGAATGGTTGACAAAAGCTGCAAGAACCACATAGAATTAAAGAAAAAAACCAACAACTTCTTAGCATAAAGGCAGCATAAATAAAGTTAAAGAAGGTGAGGTCACTGAGAGACAAATATTTGTAACAGACTGAACAGATACAAAATTAGAATTCAGAATATATGAGTAATTTCTAAGGATAAACAGAAAAGCAAAAAACAGAAAATATTTTTAAAGTATATTCTCAAACAGTTCATGAAAGATGAAATCCAAGTGAGATATTCAGCATTTGAAAAGATATAATCACACAAATGCAAATTATATATAATAACATATTTTACCCAGAAAATTAGTAAATGTTTCAAAAGCTGACAATATTAAGTGTTGGCAAGAGTGTGGAGAAAACTAATCTTTCATAAAAACTGGAGATCATTTTGGCAGTATCCAATAACATTAAAAAGAGAAACAGCCTATAGTAGTATAAATGGAGGCAGTACTAGGAAGTTCATTGCAAATTGTTGGTAATAGTGAAAAAATATGAAGAAGTTAAATGTTTACTAATATGAATGCAAATAAAAATTGGCATTTAATCATATGATGGATTACTATTTATCAGTCAATAAGAATAGGTCCACCTATGTTAATTAACAAGGAAAGATGTTCAAAATATATTTGTTGAGTAAAACAATTTCAAAAATAGCAGAACTTGGTGATGCAACTTATGGAAGACACAATATAAAGCAAAGTAAACATACGTCAATATATGTCCAAAATGTCAGGGAACAACCACAATAAACTGATAAGAGTGTTTTCTTTTGGATTGTGAGATAGAGAGAAAGGACTGACATTGAAGGAGATGATGAAAAGGGCTTTTGCCTCAATAATTTGTTTCTTCAAATAAGGAGAATGTACAATTATATTTCTCAGGTAATCAAACATTAAATTTAAAATTTAAGATAACTGCTCCAAAAATAGAAGTAAAATGTATAATCTACAAATGTGTTGAGGAAATTTAAGAAATGGATAAAGCTTAGTAGCAACCAAGGAAAAATGTAAAAAGAAATAAAGCATAAAAATAGAAAATAAAATTAAAAGGGGGTAAGAGCAAGAAATACATTTGAATCATCACAGTATATATGAATGCATTGAATTTCCATCTCACAGAAGCTGTCAGATTGGGTTAAAAACATCTGGATATAAGCTGCTTATAAAAGACACACCTGAAACTAAACATAAAAGCATTGAAAATGACAAAATCAACAAAGTTTTATTTTAAAAAATACAAAAACACAAAAGCAGACATATCAGCATTAATAAGGGATGCAAGTGATTTCAAAGAGGAAAAATTAAAAATGAACATTTTCTATGGATTAAAGTTACACTCTAACAAAAATAAAATTTTTATTAATTTTTATGCCCTGCAAAAACACAATACTGAAAGCAAGAACTGCTACAAAGAAAATAAAAATATGAATTGACATTACATTTGGAGATGGTAATGTATTCACAGCATCCATTGGAAAAAAAAAAAGGATGGAGATGATTTGATCAGAATGACTTACAAGCTTACTTACAGCCAGAAGACAATTGTCCTGCATCCTGAAGACAAGACATTGAGACCCTAGAAGGTTGTGTTCTGCTAACTTGTTGCAAAAATATGAAGTAAAAAGGCAGACATTCTCCAACATGATACATTAACTAAAAAATCAATGTGCAGAGCACACACACACACATAGATAAGCATCTGAGATGATCCATGTCAAACTTTTAGGATTGGCTACCTTGGTCCAGAGGCATGAGACTGGAGCTGGTGGTGTGGTGAGGAGGATGAGTTGCCATTTTCCTCTCTATATTTCTGTATTGGTGTGCATTTTTTCAAAATAAACTTGAATTCCTTTTGAAATATTTTCATAAAAAGGCATTTCTTAAAAGAAAACTAAAGAAAGAAAGGAAAGGAGGAAAGAAGGAAGGAAGGGGATGACAGAGGGAGGGAGGGGGAAGGGAGGGGGAAGCAGGGAGGGAGGGAGGGAAAAGTGAGTAAGCATAGCAGTTAGTATATCAGGTAAATTTCAACAGCTGATTTGACAATATCCTAAGGGCAATATTAATGATCTCAGACAGCTAGTTACCAATATTTAAATCTTGTATAATATCTGTTTACAATGTTTAAGTGTGGAAAACAATGAAAGTAGCTGCTATTTAATAAGGTTTAATATATGTTAGGTATTTAACATATGTATTATCTCTTTCAATCATTATAATAAACCTGAAAGTTACTATTCTCACTTTAAAGATGGAGTTTGGAAAAGCTAAGCAATTTTCCCCACGTTTCCTAGCTAATAACTGGCAGGGACAGGAAGCAAACCTGACAAAGCAGGAGCATCGTCATCTTGGATAAACACCGCTAATTTATGTTTCAGCTCCCTTTCTAGCCCCATGCATTTCCAGGAAATCACTTCTCTTCTAACTACAAGCAGCCGGAAAGAGCAGAACGGTAAAACACAGATGAGACAGCTCGGGCACAGAGGGAGGAGGGAGCAAAGTCTCTTGGGTAACTGCCAAACTTCATCCTCATACAATGGGCCCCAGTTAAACAGTGGGCCTTAATAAGAACATTCCTTTCCCTTTGGGTGCACTAAGTTAGGGAAGTTAAAAGATAGGAAGCTAAAAGTGGGGTATGCCTGCAGCTGCAGAAAGATATATGGGAACAGAGATACAACTCTCCCTCTCAGATAAGCACAACAAAGAGACACAGAAGCAGTCGAGGCCTCTGATAAACTCTCCCACCTTGAATCCTTAAAAACTCTTAGTCTGTAAGGGAGTATGCCTCTGACCTAACTCGGCCAGATGCCCCTCCCATGTTTATTTTCTCTAAATTAAACCTGTCTGTGACTGTCAAGCCACCTTTTGTATTTCTTTCCTATTTCTTTAATTTTTACTAAACCCAGGCTGGCTTGCTTCCAAAGCCACCGTTGTCTACACACCAGAACTCTCTCACTCAATTACTGAGTCTTTGACGGAACCTACATCTGGGTACATGGTTTTCGACAGGTATATCTTGTGCAAAGGAAGCTTTACAGGATGCAAAGGTGCGAACAATACTGTGTTTAAGAAAGGAAAAGCATGTGTTACTTCAGAGCTGGAAGTGCAGGGGAAGCCACTGAGGACTAAAGGAAAGGGATGGGATGGTATGGTTAGGAAATGTTCGCAAACCACATCTGAGCAGACAGGTAACATGGGCGATAGGTTTCTGAATGCCAATTAAAAAACTGCCAAATTAGGAAGGTACAGCACTAAATAAAAAGGTAAGTGTGAAGTGCGCTGCTGTCATTTTCACCATATTGAAGGTAAAACATCTAACAATTTATATATTTTTTCTTGAAAATAAAAGTAATGAAGTCTACTGGTAGTAATCAAATACATCTTCACTTAGCTTGTTTTGTTTTTCTGTTGAGATTGTATAGAATGTAAAAATACTCTTCTGGATTTATTTCACTCTCTGATAAATATAAACAGGACAGAAATACTAGAATCTAGAAACGATGTTTTCTTAGGATCTATAACATCAAAAAAAGGACTAGAGAGAACTATGTTGATCAGATGCTGTAAAAAACATTTTGAAGACCTGCAGCCCCCAACACTTGAGTATCTTTTTTTTTGTATTTTTAATTTCTTAAATACAGATAAATCATAGTAAATAAGAAAACTTTAAAAACTGTCTCCATCATCACTGAACAATATGGGCATTGATAATCAGAGAGGTGCCTTGAAATTGTAAATCTATTTTTTTTCTTTTATTTTAAGCTGGTAAATACAGGGTAAAATCTCTTTAGATCTCAATCATGCCTATTAGACACACAATTTTATTTAAACTATTTAACCTGTCAGATTTAAGAAAATAATTTGGAAAACTCACTTTTGTAACAAATTGCAGGTACAAAAATTACTCATTTGGAATAGTCAGAATACAGATGCTACTCACCTGTGAGCACAGATATATTCATATTTCTATGTCAGACCAAAATCCTGCTTAAACACACAAACATTCCTAACAATGTCATAATGTTTACTCTTTCTCCTGGCTTAATAAACTATATTTCTGATATTATTGGAAGATTATTGTTAGAATTGAAGGAGATAATACAGGTTGAGCAGCCCTTATGGAAAATGCTTGGGACCAACCAATAGTGTTTCAGATTTTGATTTTTTTCAGGTTATGGAATATTTGCATACACATAAGGAGATACCTTGGTGTTGGGACCCAACTCTAAACACAAAATTCATTTATGTTTCCTATACAGCTTTACACAGAGCCTAAAGGTAATTTATACAATATTTTAAATAAGTTTGTGCATGAAAAAAGTTTGTGTACATTGAACCATCAGAAAGCAAAGGTGTCCCCAAAGTGGGATTTTCCACTTCTGGCATTATGTTGGTGGTGCTCAAAAAGTTTTGAATTTTGGAGAATTTCAGATTTTTGATTTTTGATTAGGCCTGGTTTCTCCAGTCTTAGGGGACCTAGTAAGCTAGGCCCACTTCCACCAAACCACAGATGGAACTCACATGGGGAGTTTACACTTGAAAGCTTTTTTTCTTGTCTATCCACCCAATTTGTTCACTTTTCTATGTATTAGAAAGCATTAATGATAACTATTGAATTTGTGATTTTGAATATTTTCTTTCCATTGTACATGGAAGGTTGACTGGTGTTAGGAGATACTCCATCCTGGGCCACCCATCAATCACCTGTTCTCCTTGGCCAGTGCATAGCAATGTATGTCATCATCATAAAAACCTTCCACATCCAGCCATTTATTAATTATTTTTCATTCATTTTGTCAGATTTGGTGGAGAGAACAATTCTGGGATCTAGTCTCATTTCAGTTTTTACCTGGAAACTACATTCATGGATCTTGAATATAAACCTCATAAACCTTCCACACAATTATCTCTGTCTCTGAGTCAGATTCCCAGGAACCCAAGCTGAAACAAGTGGAATTTAGCAGCGCCTAGCAAAATTACGTATGAATTTCCTCCGTGACTCAGAAATCCCATTTCCAGTGATATGGCAAAATATAATGATACATACACAAAGGTATGTGGTGCTTGTAACTTGGAACTCCTTGGACAAAGACTTTCCTACTCTACAGGACTGTGTTGAGGACAGAGAAAATAAATAATTCTCAAGACAGTCATAAACCTAAGCCACTAGTACATATTTACAATTTTTACTTACCAAATAGTGACAGGTTCTCACTATGTTGCTCAGGCTGGAGTGCAATGCGTATTTGCAGGTGCAATTATAGCACACTGCAGCCTTGGATTCCCAGCCTCAAGAGAGCCTCCTACCTCAGCCTCTCGAGTATGTGAGTACCTGTGCATCAGCATGCCAAGTTACATATTTACTTTTATATGGGCAGCTGCTAACATATTTTAGAGCTTGTAGATTATACCGTGTGTAAGTGTAATGGGTGGCTGCTTAGTATCTGAGGTTAACTTTTCTTCCAGACTCTTCTGTCATGGTATAAAGGTAGCAAGTGCCTTTGGATTTGCTTTTAAATATTAAAGCAACTGCAGTATACTCCTGTTATATAAACATAGGTGTGCCCTTGGGGATAGGATGTGAGAGGAGCTTTTGTTGGTGTTTAGAGACTGCCCCACTCCTTGGCAGGCAGAGTTGGGGCAGGCCAGCAATCAATTCTCTTAAGAAGCTCCAGGGCCTTCCAGCCGAGATTTAAAGTTAAGGAACCTGCTGGGTCAGTCCAAGCGCCTTTGACCAATATTTGTGGCAGGAATGTTCACTGAAAACCTCTAATGGGACTTGCTCTGAAGGCGGGAGGAATCTGAGCCAGAGACTCAGACTCTGACCTTCTGAGACTCTCAAGGAGTTGGTTCCCTCTGGCTCTATTGTTGGCTGAGGCTGGAAGGCTCTGGCGCAACCCCCAGCCCTATATTCCATAGTAGGAAGTTGTCTGCAGGATTAACAGTAGTATATGAGGCTGTCTTTTCTCTTGTTATGGTTTTGGATGTGTGTTCATTCATATTTTTTCATTAATTTATATAGTTTACAAATATTTGTTGATCTCTAATGTTAAGTACTCCAGGCACTGAGAATAAAGCAGTAAACGCAACAGGCAAGATCATGGAGCTCTATATTCTGGTTGGTTAGACAGGCCCTAGCAAGAAACAGCGGAGATAGTTATAGAGAGTGATAATGTTTAAGGAATAAATGGAGAAATGTGATGAAGTGAAACTGGATGGACAGTCCAAATTTCAGTATGGCCACTGGGGAAGACTGCTCTGAGGAGGGTGTTTGAGTTGAAACTAATTAAGAAGAATAAATTGGATTTTCAAGAGCTGAAAGAAAGTCCAGAATAGGAACAAATATCTTGATATTTTATAAAACAAGAAATCTAATGTTACATGTTGTGGTCTTTACATTGAGGGACAGTTCTAAAATACTTTAAAGATGTGTATGGATAATATATGTTATCGCCAACCCCCCGATACTCAACTAGAAAATATCTGAGTATGCAACAAAGAGGAAATAGTTAAAACAAATTACAGAACTTATGATTAAAAATTATCATTAAAAATATCATATATAAAAATGGGAAAATATTTTTAAGGAGAATACAAAATAGCAGCATGTAATCATAGCTAGCAAAAATGATGTATTGATTTGTAAAGATATGCAAAGATAGAAGATATGTAAGCATAAACATTTTGGTTGAGGACATTACAGAAATTACAAATATTCAAATACTTTAGTGTCATTGTTTTCTCAATAAATGTTTTAATTAATCAAAACTAACAATGTGGGAATTTATTTTTATACAGTATTAGCTGAACTTTCACTACGCTTCTCTTAGTCCTAAAATATGGACTTAAACGCTGTGGGAATTCCAGTGCCTAGAATAGTGTCTAGAACAGGCACTCACATATTTTAGATAAATTAAAACATGGATACAAGATACTAGAAAGAGGGAAAAAAACTGATATGTTAAGAAAATTTGTTCCTTTCTCCTTTTTGTTGGTGAATCAATGAAAACTATAAATGATATCAGGTCAAAGAAAGATATCTTAATGTGATCTGGGGAGAGGTTTTTTATTTTTTAAGGGTTCTGAAAAGGCAAAGAGGTAATATTAAAAATGTCTTTTTTGTCAATTTATAATTATAGAGTATTCGGAAAGGACAAAAATATTTGAAGATGAAACCAATTACCAACTTAGCCCCAGAGACACATTACTAATATTTTATTATATTTTCTTCTAATGTTTTATTTTCCTGGCTATACATATATTGTTTTAATGAATTTAGCATCATTTTAATGCAGAGCTTTATATCTTAATTTTGTCTATTTTATCATGAATATTTTTCATTTCCTTTAAGAAGTCTTTGAACATAGAATTTTTAATGATTGCAAAATTACTCACTCAATCACTCTAGGATATGCTATACCTTATTTAAGCAATCTTCTATTACAGACACGTTTCTTCCAGTGTTCCACTTAACAGTGAAAATATTGCTAAAAAATATTTGCCTCATAGCCCGGCTTCTCCCTGTCTCCAGTGCTTCTTCCTTCACCTTTCCACAGATGCTGATCCTGGGAGCATGCCCTCACAAACCTCCCACACATGTATCTCTATCTCTGAGTCAGATTCCCAGTAACCCAAGCTGCAACAAGGGGGACTTAGCAGTGCCTAGCGAAATTACATATGAATTTCCCCCATGACTCAGAAATCCCATTTCCAGTGATAGCGTGAAATATAAGGATACGTGCACAAAGGTATTCATTGCAGCACATGTGTAACAGTAGAAGTACCAGAAAAATAACACATACTGGAAACTCAAGTGCCTGTCAATAAGGGACTTATTGAATAAACAATATCATATCCATACACCATGGTATAATAGAGTATACAGTGTATCTCTATATATTACTATCAGGCCATATCCAGGAAATAATGTTAAGTGAAAAAAAGTAAGGAGGAAAAAATGTATAGAGTATGTTATTGCCTTATCCAGTGAAGAGAAGACTACTAATATGTGTGTGTTTGTGGAGAATTAAACCACAAAAAATGCACAGAAGGAAGAAGGGAATTGTTTGAAGGAAACAGGGACAGAATATAGGTTTCTTAAGATCTTACTTTGGACCCAGATTACTATTTTACATAATTTTAAACAAAATTAAATTACACAAGCAATTCCAAAACTAAAAAATAAAATAACCAATGAATTGACATGTACATCTGTTTAGCGGTATAACCACAAAGAGCGGAAGTATTGGAAGTGACTTTAAAGATAGTATTTTGACTTTATATATGTATATAATAAAATATATCATTGGGACAAAAAGAACTGCAAGTAATCTTTGTTACAATAATCATCATATTGCTGGTAGTAGTGCTATTATTCATATTTTGCAACTGTTGTTTGTATATCTTGGGATAGAGCAAATGAGTCGTTACATTGGTGTCTTATAGAACCGGAATTTTTCATCATGAGAGATAGGAGATACAGAGGTAAGATTGTTGAAATCAAATTAAAACCCTGTAGCCCCAAATCTGATCCGAAGTATCAAAATATAAACCAAAAATATCTATTTCTTAGCTGTGCCTATTTAGAAGGCCTAGAAACAAAGATCAAACAATGCACAACTCTAACACCCGGACTGGAGTTTCTAAATGCAAATTAGGACTCCCAGAAATATGGGCTGTACGTTAAAAAAAGAAGGAAGAAAAAAATAGGGCTTTTTGGAGAAATGGCAGTTCTGGGCCTGAGCAGGAAATACATGAGATGAAATTGAAACCTCCTGTTATATTAAAAAACCAGGAAGCCCATTAAGGTTGGGTGGAAAAGATTCAGGAATCATCTTGAATTGGCTCCCAATGGCCAAACAGGACAATTTCAACATCAATAAGGATAATAAATGAAACACATTGTGTTTCCAATCATGATTTCATAATAATTCTAAGAAAAATTTAAACACATTGGTGACCTCTGGAAGATGCTAGGGAAACAACTCAATATTGGAAACTGGTTTTAAAATGAGAAAGAGAGAATTAAATATTTATTTTGCCTTTTCTATATAAATTATACCATAGAGTATGTAATTGGTGAAGGAAAGTGTGTTTTATAAAACTATTCCAAATAACAAATAAAAGGAATATTAAAATTTTAAAGCCATCATTTTATAAACACAAATTAATGGGTCTAGGGCTAAGCAACGGTTATTAAGGACTGCCAACCTCACAGTAAGAGAGAAAATCAGACCATTGTGCTCTACCCAGTAGAAGTGCATACTACCACCTATAAAATAGGTCAAAAATTCAAACATGAATCTGATCAAACCTCTAGATCAGGAGCTGAGAAAGTTTTCCTTAAAAGGTCTGACAAATATTTTAGACAAATATGGGCCATATGGTCTCTGCTGAAACTATTCAACAATGGCAGACACTGTAGCTTGAAAGCAGCCACAGTTTGTGAATGAATGGGCACGGCTGTGCTCCAACAAAACTTCATTCACAAAAACAGGGGCTGTCCTCAGTTTGTCAATCCTGACCTAAAATCGAGATCTAACTTTTAATTTGTATTATACAGAAAATACAAGCAAAAGATGAATATGTTAAATCAGTGGTCCCTAACCTTTTGGTACCAGGGACCTGTTTATAGAAGACAATTTTTCCATGGACCTGGCAGGGGTTTCAGGATAATTCAAGTGCATTACATTTATGGCACACTTTATTTCTATTATTAGTACATTGTAACATATAATGAACTAATTATACAACCCACCATAATGTAGAATCAGTGGGAGCCCTGAGCTTGCTTTCCTGCAACTAGATAGCCCCACCTGAAGGTGATGGGAGACAGTGACAGATCATCAGGCATTAGATTCTCATAAGGAGCACACTACCTAGACCCTTTGCATGAGCAGTTTGCAATAGGGTTCGTGCCCCTATGAGACTCTAATGCTGCCACTGATCTAACAGGAGGCGGAGCTTAGGTGGTAACGCAAGTGATGGGGAGTGGCTGTAAATACAGATGAAGCTTTATTTGCTCACCCGCTGCTCACATCCTGCTGTGTGTTCTGGTTCCTAACAGGCCATGGACTGGTACCCCCATATTAAATGATACCACAGGAAGGCAATCAATTTGCCTTTCCAGGTTTTCACCATTGCGCTTCACTGTGCCTGGAATCCTCCTCCCACAGATGCACACATGGCTCATTCCCTGACTTCCTTGAGGTCTACTTTCAAAGTCCAGACTGAAGTAAACTGTTCAACAAAGAGTAGCTGGTGTCTTCAACAACAGCAACAAAACTGCAAGAAATAGAAAGTTGGAAAGGAAACGCGTATCTTAAAAGAGATATAAAATTTGTATCAAGAAATCAAAATATTTGGGTTTTATTTAAATTTCAATGTTAACACTTTTTTTTTTTTTTTTTTGAGACAGAGTCTCAGTCTGTTGCCCAGGTTGGTGTGCAATGGCGTGGTCTCGGCTCACTGCAACCTCCACCTCCCGGGTTCATGTGATTCTCCTACCTCAGCCTCCCAAAAAGCTAGGACTGCTGGTGCGTACCACCACACCCGGCCAATTTTTTTATTTTTAGTAGAGTGTTGCCACGTTGGCCAGTCTGGTCTCAAACTCCTGACCTCAAGTGATCCACCTGCCTTGGCCTCCCAAAAAGGACTGGGATTACAGGCATGACCCACCATGCCTGGCCCAATGTTAACACATTTTGAAAAATAAGACAATCATGGAAATAAATGATGACACTAAGGAATTATTCTTTTAGGTGTGATAATGATGACTTGCAGTTATGTTTTTAAAAGACTTCATACCTTTAGAGATATATATTTAAATACTTACAGATGAAAAGACATGATGTCTGCTGTTTGCTTCAAAATAATCTTGGGTGGGGAAGAGTGGGGCTACAGGTGAAATAGGACAGACCTGGAGTTGACTATTTTGGGGACTGGGGAATGGCTACATGGGGGTTCATTGTACTATTCTGTCTACTTTTGCATATGTTTAATATTTTCAGTAATTAAGAATTAAAATAACAAACACACAAAATATACCTTAGAATCGGTGGCAGGGATTAAAAATGTAGATATAGATGAAGAAAAACAGGTTGAGTTAGCTAGAGAGGAGAATCCCTTGGGGCAATTAAGAGGCATTATAGTGATGAGATTTCACCTGCTTGTCCCTTCGCATTAGAATAAAAAAGTTGAAGCGAATCAGATCCACTCCAATGTCTCTGAGTAAACCCATCCCCTCCCCAAATCTCTCAGAAGGGAAGGAATTCAAAGAGGTCCAGAGCTTGGGGCTGAGGGTTCAGGGCACTGCCAGCTGCTCACTAGTATCTGTATGCCCCTTCTTCTTTGTACAGCATCTTGATTTCTTCAGAGACGCCAGTGCCCATTTAAAAATAGCCAGCCCTTCAGATCTCCTGGTAGTTAGGTCTGGAAGTCAGGCCTCCCACTGATTCTACATTATGGTGGGTTGTATAATTATTTCATTATATATTAAAATGTACTAATGATAGAAATAAAGCGCATAATAAATGTAATGCACTTGAATTATCTTGAAACTCCTGCCAGGTCCATGGAAAAATTGTCTTCTACAAAACAGGTCCTGGTACCAAAAGGCTAGGGACTACTGATTTAACTAGGCTGGCCGTTAAAATATAAATAGAAGTCTAGGGCTTCCAGGAAATACATGGTTTTATAAACTAAAAGTAGGTGTATCCATTCCAATTTATTATTGCATGGGTGTAATTATGGTGCCTGGAGTAGTAGTGGCAAACTTGTAGCCATAAGGATAAAATAACACACCATGACAGGGTCAGGCAGTGACAGGGAGACAGAGACTGACCATGGGACATCATAGAGTCACTGCCCCAGAGCTGGACTACCTACCTGTACTTCATGTTTCATAGAAAAAATAAACTGCTACATGGTTAATCTGCTATACTAAGGCTTCTGCTACATGTGGCCAAACATAAGTAAGTAGTCACTAATATCTGAAACCTAAAACATCCAAAATGAGACTCCTGATCTCCTCTAATCCATCTTCTCATTGTCCTTTCACAGATCACTAAACAGCAGCACCTGTGTTTAATTTTTGGTCTTTTTCAGACCAAAAATCTCAACTCCTCTTTTTCCTTACTCACTCCATCAGCCAAGCCTGTTGGGTTCTCCCTTTGAGGTGTGTCCAGAATGGAACCTGTTCTCAGTAGCTCCACAGCTTCTATCAGTCTTGTCTGGGCCACCACCATCTCTCCTGTGGTCTACTTCAGTGGCCTCCCGATTGGTCTGCTGCTTCAATCTTTGCCTCCCACAGTCTGTTCTCCACCATCAATCAGAGGGTTCCTTTTGAAATTTAAGTCACATCATAGCAATCTTCTGTAGAGAATACAAAATGTCTTCCCATCTCACTGCAAATAAGGTCTAAAGTTCTACTCCTGGCCTGTCAGTTCTTACATGACCTGAGCTATCATTCACTGAGTTCCCATCATTCTGGCTTCCCTGATTGCCAGGTGTGTCCCTGGCCAATGGATGAAATGAGTACTCAGACACAAGTATGCAGTGTAAGAACAGCTAGGTGACTGCCTGGCTGTAGTGGCCAGAGAGCAGCCCCGAGAAGCTGAAGCTGCTTGCTTTTATTTACTGCAGGCATAATGCCGAAAGCCTGGAGCCTACACAATCTGTAAATGACTAACATTTATTGTTCCTCATTCAGAGAACATCATGTGTGCGGATGTTCAAATGTCAGCTCCTGGACAACTTCAAACAAACAGGCTTGATCAAGACAAATTCTCCTACACTCCCTTGTACCTACTCCTTGCCCTCTGCCTCAGGGTCACAGAACAGCTGCCTTCAGCTATTCTCCCCTGGAGCTTTGCAGAGCCTTCCGACCTTATAGAAGGGCCACTCCCTTTCCCTTGGAACATACTAAGCAGGCTTCCCTTCCAGGTTTTCTCACCCTCACTCCTCACTCTGCCTGGAATCTTCCTCTCACAGATGCCCACATGGCTCATTCCCTCACTTCCTTGAGGTCTCCTTTCAAGTGCTACCTACCAGACCAGCCTTCCAAGCCGGCCATGAGCTTGTTTGCACTCATCTCTATTCCCCTTTCATCTTGGTCATCCTCCGTGTTGCAGAAAACTGCATTTCTTTGGTTCTCCTGTTCCCTGGATCCTGGTGGGTTCAGCCCATGGGAGAGAGAGGTAGAAGACTGAAATCAGGAAGGAAGAAGGAAGGAGTTTAAGTGTTTGCTTCTCTCTTCAGGCTGTATTTCTGGTAACCACAGTGTCTTCTCTGAGACTCCAGCTTCTAGCAGACAGACCTTTCATCTGTGGTTCCAGCTCCTGCTGGGAAGGCATAGCATGGCTCCAGCTTCTACCAGGTGGCCGCAGCACCTGGACTTCAGTAATACCACCATCTCCCTCTGCTGGTTCTGCTGTTGCTGATCTCTGGGTTACTTGCTGTCCCCTGTGTGTATTTTCAGCTCCTCTATCATGGGTATAGTCAATTCCCCATACTAAATCCCTTCTGCTAGCAACGCCAACAAATCCTGACCAATCCAACTTGGTCTGACTGATAGGACTTCCCTGAACGTCTTAAATAAAATAGCCTCCATCAGCCTTCCTGTTGTCATGCTATCCACTTATATTATCATCTTTCATGGATCTTAGCAATACCTGATAGAGCACATATATATTAGTTTCCTTAATACCTATCTCTCCCCTGGAATACAAACCTCATGATGGCATGACTTGCCTGCCTCGATCTCTGCTAGACCCCCATTGTCCAGAATGCAGCATGATCAACAATCGGTGCTCACGCAAACAAACAAATATTCTTTCATGCATTTAAGAGGTACTGATGAGCACTCTCTAGGTTCTATTTACTAGACATGGAGATAAAGTGGTAAGACAAGCTTTTCTATTCAGCTTTGGCCACAGGAGGGAGTGGCAGTGAGGGCCCAGCCTCTCTTGTGTCTTGGTGCATTTTAATCATCCTGCTTTTGATTTGTGGTGGTTCCAAACTGAGTGGAAAATCACCTGTATTGCAATGGAAGCTTGTTGAAGAGGGGAACCAACTCTATTGTTTATCCTGAGTCAGACTCCCTAAGAGGGGAACAAACACTCACCTGACATGGAGTGGGATCTTGGGCACCTTCTTAGAGACCTTGAACCGGTCTCTGTCCCCATAGGTGTCAGTGAAGTACACTCCAGCTACACTTGTCACCTTGTTCCCAGGGAACCTGGAGAGCACCTTGTCAGGGCCGTGCTGGCTGGCCCAGTACCAGGCCTGGCCCCCGATTAACAAGCCCCCTCCATGTTTCACAAACTGGATCAGCGTTGCAGTCAAGGTGTCATTGTAGGCATTGATACAGTAAACCCCTAGGGGCTCTCCTGGTTCTGGCTTGACCTGTGCCTCAAGCCCAGCATCCTGTAGGATGTTTACTAGAGGTGCCAGGGATGGATGCACTCCCACGGGAGCCCCAGGACAGGGACAGAGCCAGCTCACTGCATTGAGGAGAAATGGAGCCAAGCCAGTATGCGACAGGTAGCCCTCATGGGACACAACCACGAGGCGGCCTCGGCCGTAGGAGGAGGCAGCAATGAGCACCTGGCCCTTGTCATTCACCATCACGGGGAAGGCGGCTTCTCCAATAAGAAGGAGTTCACTGGGGATGGGGCCTCTGGGGACATCCCAGCATGTCACTCCATCCATGAGGGCCTCAAACGCAGCAGCAGCAATGGTCGCCATGGTTCTATCAGCTGCTGCAGGGGGAAGCAAAGACTTTCATGTATTTAAGAGATACTGATAAGCACTGCTGGTCAGAACAGATGAAGGAACAGGTGAAAAAAGCAAACAACTAAATGCATTCACCTCCAAATTTTACTGGATTCCCCATTGTGGGCCAAGCACTGTTCTAGCACTGGGAGTACAGCAAGAAACAAAACAGATAAGGTTTCCCTTTTCGTGATTTGAATATTTTAGAAGGAGAAAGATAATGAATAAATAGGTAGATAAACAGATAAATAAAATGCAACAATCACTATGATGAAAATAAAACACAATGATGTGACATGGAGGAACTGGAAGACTACTTTAGATTGGGTGATAGGAAAGGACTCTGACAAAGTGGCATTGAAGCTGAAACCTGAAATGCAGTGAGCAAAGGGCATTCCAGCAACGAGACCACTTTGGGGTGGCTGAGAGCCAGGAGCAGGGAGGAGCAGGACCCCAGGAGGAGGGAGGGACGGGCTAGATCCTGCAGGGCCAGTAAATCAAGGTGATAGTTAAGTTCGTGTGCCTGAGTGGACACAGTGCTTGATTTTTTTGAACAGAAAGGTCATAGACCTGTCAAAACATGCCTTTCTTCTGACAGCTTTGCTAAGTTGGAAAGTGCCCCCTAATTTATCAAATCTGCCCTAATGGAGAGGACCCTCCTCTATTTGGTAGCATTATGCAGTTTCCGGAGGTCTTTTAAAATTGGCTGTGCCTAACACTGAGACTATTTGTCCCTTTAAGCAGCCCCTCTTGGATAAATGACTTCAGTCTCAGTTTCCCCATCTACAAAAAGAGAATAATACAGCCATGGGAAGATTGTTTTTGAAGATTAAAGGAATATGGATAGGCCAGGCGCAGTGGCTTATGTCTGTAATCCCAGCACTTTAGGAGGCCGAGGCCGGTGGATCACCTGAGCTCAGGAGTTTGAGACCAGCCTGGCCAACATGGCGAAACCTGTCTCTACTAAATCTACAAAAAATAGCTGGGCATGGTGGCGTGCACCTGTAATCCCAGCCACTTGGGGAGGCTGAGTCATGAGAATTTCTTGAACCCTGACGGTGGGGGGCGGAGGTTGCAGTGAGCCGATATCGCACCAGTGGACTCTAGCCTGTGCGAGAGAACAAGACTCTGCCTCAAAAAATAAAATAAAATAAAATAAAATAAAATAAAATAAAATAAAATAAAATAAAATAAAATAAAATAAAGTAAAATAAAATAAAGCAAAGAATATGTCTAAAAATGCCTTGTCTGGGGTTGGTACACATACAGTGAGCACGGAATAAACGAGAGTGTCTGTCCCTTTGCTGTCCTTTTAAGTTTCCCGGGTTGCCGAGGGCAGCGTTGCAGATTGCAGTAGTGCAGTAGTCCCCTGGCTGCCTGTGCCGCCTCCCTTTGCGCGTCTCTGACGAGCCCACTGTAAGGGACTTTCCTCTGTGCTCTGATGGCTTCTCACCTCTGCAGGTGCACAAGGCAGCCCTGAAGTAGCGGTGAGTTGACACTAGGGTGAGCTTCGCCCAGTAGAGCGGGGATTCACAGAAGAGTGCCCCGTGGCTTTCCCGAGGTGCCCATCAGAGGTCCTCGGAAGGCACCCGGAGGAAAGGAGCGCCATGTGGAAGACCCTCAGCCACATGCTCCTCCTGGCTTTCCCTTTTTTCCTTGTCTCATTCTCTCCACTTCCTCATTTGGGCTTTTTGGTCTCACTTACCCCCAAAAAATTACCTGCAGGTAAGCCCTTGCATAAGGCTTTGCTTTAGGGCAGAATCTAAACTAAAACACACACCAAGCCCTTGAGCCACAAGTGCCTCCTTCCTCTCTCCCTCCTGCTTCTATATGCAGTCAACCACCTCATTTGGTTAATCTCTCACCATCTCTCTCAAACATCAGTCCCTTTAGTTGGCAATCATTCCAGACTAAACCAATATGGTTTTAGTCCCCAGGATGTATTCTCATCCACAATCGTCCTCTACAAGAACTCTAACAAGAACCGTTACATTTCGTCCACTCTCTCTAAGGTGAAACTTGCAGAGCGCCTCAGCCTGGCTTCTCCAGGGTCTGGCATGCCAGTGATTACTGGACGTTTTTCCTGCTACTTTCTTCCACTAAATCTCTCCAAGCTCGGAAAGGTTGGCATTCTGAGCATGCCCTGCATTTCCTGTAGAATTC